>NW_025791777.1:1791212-1946398 GCF_000001405.40 Homo sapiens
TTATAAATCAGTGTATTGACAAAACCTGAGTCCTCAATTATTATTGACTGTCATTGACATGTTAATGATAGAATATTAAATATAGAATATAATAAAGCAATTTAGAATAAAAAAGAGAAAGCGATAGACATGAATAGAAACAAAATGCAACTGTTCAATATTAAAAGCCTTTCTAAATTGCTTGTGTTTTTCTAGTGACCTGTTTCGCTATGCAGTGTAGGCTCAGGTGTCTAGATTTTAGTTGCAGATAAACACAGGTAGTGTTTTCCAGATCTCAGAATGACCAGTTACATAAAAATAGGCCATAAACCATATATTTCATTCTTACGGTTGACAAACCTCTAATTCACCTGAAAATATTAAAAAGAAAGAAGACAGACGTGACAGTGGTTGGAAGTTGAGGATAAGAAGAAGTTGGCAGAAATAAGCTTTCTTCTTTTGGACAGCAATGCATGATAAAAAAAAATTAAACTAAAATCAGTTCATTTCCACTAACTGGGACTTATTTAGAAACTTTAAGAAAGTCTGAAGAATTTCAATTGAGGAGTAAATAAGGGCCAATTTATTTCATAGTGTGGACTCTCAAGACAATATACAACAGTGCTTCTCAAAGTTAAACAGTGTATGAGTGACCTGGAAATGAAGATGCAGATTTAATAGGGCTGGAGAGAAGTCTGAGATTCTCAATTTCTAATGAATTAAATTACAAAGAGGAGAAAATAAGGTTATTGCTTACTTTATATACATTCACAAACACAGGCTAATCAAATAATTGTTTAAAGTATTGCTCTGATAAGAATTAAATTACATAGTTCATAGGAAACATTTTCTTTACATTCGGATTTTATCTATTATTAGAATAATAATAGAATCTTGACTTTATGTAACTCTATGTTCCAAACAACTAGAAACTTTTCGATAGCAATTGTTCACCATTTAATAACATTTTTCCAAGATACCTAATGCACTCAAGGACAAAATAGCTGCCTTCCAGTGATTTCCAATTTATTCAATTTTCAGGCCATCTGTCTGCCCACACAATGACAGATTATAGTTACATTCTTGCCATGCTCTGAACAGCTAAGCCAATTGTTTTCAATCTTTTTTCTTCAGCAACTCCATCTCTTAAAGTACTTCAGAGTAGTTCCTGAAAGGATTCCTCTTTAGTTAAATGGCTATACAGCTCTCCCATCATCCAAAATAATCAGTGGAGAGATAGCAATATTTTTCATTACATTAGGCCAAGTTCCATTGCTTCCTTCATCTTGTAATCTGATCAGAAACACCACTATAGATTCAATAATTGAGTTTAGAGTTTCAGAGAATTTGGGGTCACAGAACATCTATGTCTATTTTGTAAAGATTATTGCATATTACTGAAATAGCTTGTCAAACACTGCAGTCTGCTTAAAGTATCAAAATAGAAATGTTGAATGCTGTGTCTGCACAGAGTTCATTTAAGCAAAGAATCTACTAGGCTCTTAAGTCTGTTAATGCAAATTCCTGAATACAGCTGACCCTCCATACCCCCATTGTGGGTGGATTTAACTAACCATGAATCAAACATATTTGTTAAAAGAAATACCAAGAATAATTTTTAAAAAGAAATACAACAATAAAACAATGCAAATAAAAAACAATCCTTATAACAATTATGTGCATAGCATTTATATTGTATTCAGTATTATTAATGTAAGTAATAATCTGGAAATGATAGAAAGTATACAAGAGGGTTGTGTAAGTTATATGCAAATACTAGGCCATTTTATATAAGAAACTTGAGCATCTCTGGCTTTTGCTATGAAGGGATGATGGTGGTAGGATTGGTGGTGGTCCTGGAACAAATCCCCAGCAGGTACCAAGGGGGACTGTAGACCCCAAAGCTGTTTAGGAATGGGTCACAGCAGCAGGACTGAGGCAGGAATGCTCCCCACAGAAAACATCAACCACCTGTTGATTTTTGAATCTGCTCCTCTCAGGCATGCCTTCAAATGCTATAACCTGGAGATTCAACTCATTTTCATGCTGCTAAGTAGGAATAGGTGATTCAATTCCCCAAGAAAGTGACAGAGGTCCCTGAAATATAGATTTAAAGTTACATAGTGTCAAATGCTAGTCATTTTCTTTTTGCTCGATGGTATCCTCTCAGAAAAACCTTTTATAATATTTCTAATTCATTTACCAGATTTATAGAATCATCAAATTGTCTATCCATGTGTTTTTCAAATATTTTGTGAAGTGTCTAGGGTAACAACCTAGTGTTCGAACGTATTTTGTGAAGTGGCTAGGGTAACAACGTAATGTTCGAACTTATGTTCGTATTTAAATACAAATGTATTTTGGTTGAGTGATTACTCAAGGTCACTGAGGAATCCACAAGGTTAACCTCCTGACTCTAGAACCATTGTTATATAGAGATATATAAATAGCTGATTTAATATTATAGGCTTAGCAAAATATTTAATAAATAAGGTCTTAGTAAAACAACACACATGTATTTATCCACTTATTTAATTTTGTTTTTCCATTTCTTCTGAACATAAGTTCCTGAGGACACGGGCCTTTTTTCACAGTTCATTTTTGGATTCCAACATCTAGCCAGTACTCTGCAAAGAGCACTGAATTTGAAAGAAATTTCTCAGTTAATGATTTGAATCATATAAAATATTTAGTAAATTTGAAAACTAGTAACCGTGTAAAGCGATTAAAACAAACATACTAGAGGGTAATAATCCCCCGCCCCTTGCCTTCTTCCTTTACATCCACTTCATTCTTATTCTTGTCTACTTCCCCTGCCCCACCCAGGGAACGTGGTTAGCCCATCAGCTGCAAAGATTGTTCTCATATAATATTGTTCTGATGGATAATGAGACTCTGAAAGTGGAACATAAACAGATAAAACAAAAACAAACAGAAAAGAACCCAAAAACCTAAACTCAACTTCAGTTAAAGCAGAAAATATCTGTCCAGCCTAAACCAGGCATACTCCACAGACTTCTGTTAGACGCCTGATCCTACTTCAGTCTGGAACCACCTAGTCTTCAGGTTTGCCTGGTGCTCACCAGCTGAAGAAATCCTTTAACGACCTTTATTCAGTCAAGTAAATCGTTTTCTTTTGGCAACTTGCATGTTATTTTTTAGGTTTTCATTTATTTATTTTTTTATATTTAAAGTCATATTTTCTTCCTTTTATTCACTTTGCTGGTCTTTCTCACTTTGATTTTTTTTTTTTTGCCTTGTTTTGCATTTGTTTACTTTAACATTTTTTGTAACTTATCTCTTTTATTTTGGAAATTATTCACATTATCAGTTTTCTTTTGCTAGGCAATTTTGATATTCTAATAAACATTATTAACATAAAATATAAAGTTTACTAACACCAAGCCCAAACAATACAAAGTCTTAGGGCTCTTTAATTGCAATTATTTAAAAATATTTGCTACAAATTGTTCATTATTTTATATTCATGTTGTTTTTCTTATTCCCACAAATCACATATTGTTGGTGTGTTTGTTAAATAAAATTGTGACTGCTTATATATGTTTTTTCACATCCTTTCTTCTTCTAATATTTTGGAATTTACATCCAGTTAATTATCCTTTATTCTATGGTACATACTGTAAAAGTTACTATTCTTGGTAGTAAACTCTCAGTTTTTGGATTGTCTGAAGATGTCTCTATTTTGATCTGCTCTTGAATTCTAAATCTAATTGACATAAAATTCTAGATTTGCCGTTATCATTTATTAGCACTTCAAAGATATTCCACAATTTTCTGACTTTCAATATTTTTGTTGGTAAAAATGGTGATTGTTAATTGGCTTGCATATTCTGTTTTGGATATTCCACTGTTTCCTTATAATTTGTTTATTTATAAGGAAACTTATAAACAAATTATAAGGAAACAATAGAATATCCAAAATAAAGAGAATAGTTATGGGTTCGTTTAGATAATTCTTCAGAATCTACTAATTTGTGTCTTTCTTCTTTACTTCTGTAAACTTTTCAGCTACTATATATTAGAATATTTCTTAACTTTTTTATATTCATTCTGAAATTTCTTGCTGAAATTTGTTCAGAAGGTGAGTTAACGGAGCTATACATCTTTAGTGTCATGTGCTCTAAATTGCAAAATACATGTATTTTTATTTCAGACAACTTGAGTAACATTTGTGCAAATGTTTTATATACACGGACTTAATTTGGTAAATTTAGGCATGTGGTAGACAAATTTAAAAATGTATAAAAATCATGGGCAAGCATATGAACATTCTATTTTTGCTACTATAAAAAAATAGCAGACTATCCAACTATTTTATGATACTCAACGATACATCTTACTAAATGGTCACGACTCTTGCCTCTCAGGGTCAGAGTTTGCAATAGTGAAAGCAAGAGAAAGCCACGGAAAAAAAAACAGGGAGAGGGAAAATATTAAGCTCTAGAATATGTACATTGTTTTGCTTGTATAAATTTAGAACATTCAACACATGTTTACAATGAATACATATAAAATACCAATGACATGAGGAGAATTAGAATAGAAATAAATACAAGGATTCTTTCATGATAACTAAAAATATCAGTGAAGGTTTGTACATAAAATTTAGGGATTTTATATTATTACCTAATACAATTCTGGCTATAACATCACTAAAGGATTGTAAACGTCTGCTGGGAAACCTATGGGAAAAAAATGCAAGTGGAACTGGTGTCATACAAACACATTTTCTAATGGGAAGCTTAACTGGTGAAATGTAAGTTGGAAACATTACTCAATTTAGGTCTATGAAAATGTTTTCCCAAATACAATCTTTTCTTGTTTGATAGGAGGTTTTACTGTGATGTATTATTTCTGACAGCCTCTTTTTTTTTTTTTTAAAGGAAACGAGTAGAATTAAGTGAATTGATTATCATATCTAACCTGTAAGTACAAATTACTTTCCCTTGGAATTACATAATTGATAATTGTACATCCTCAGATGTGTTTGAATCTGAGATTTACTCTAAACTCAGAGGAAAAAAAGTGAAATTTTGTTTCCATTGTGACACCTTTGTTTCCTTTTTAAGTTTTCAAAATTTCTTAAAAATTATTTTTCCCTTTCATAATTTATTCAACAAGTATCTATTGTTAGGTGTTGGGAACACAAGACCTAAAACTCCTGACAAATATATTCTATTTCTGAGGTCAATTTGTACATTAATAAATGCATATATAATACCAGACAAGATTGTAATGCTAACCAGTTTGACTTTGAGGCACGGTATTCAGAATGTAAATGCCCCTGGAAAAAACATTGAATATAAATGCCCCTGGAGAAAGAATGTAGTTGGAAAAAACATTCTGAGGTAAAATTATGCAATATTGGTATGACTAATTAGAGTGACCAGAGGTTCACACATTTTTGTGACATGCCATTGGTAGAAAAAGAGCCATAGCTGAAAAAATATGGCAGTCATAAGATGTCAGTGGAAATGAAGACAAGGATACCTTTTGGTCAATTTTCTTGAAAATATTGGCTTTTTCAACAGTGTAGTTTATTTAAAATTTAGTCCCAGTTCTTAGCAATTATTTATATACTGATGGACTTATATCCAGGGTCTTCTTGAATTAAAAAAAGTCAAAAAATAATTTTATAAATTTAAAATATTATAAAATTATGATATATACAATTCTTGCTCTCTCTGTCATATTTTTCCAATTTTTTGTCTGTCTTGTTTTTTCTTGCCTTTTCTTCCCTGTCCTTTCCCTTTCGTTTCTTTTCTTTTTGTTTCCTTTGTCTGGCCTTGCTTTGAGTTTCTTTTCCAAACGAATTCACTGGAGGTGGTATTTTTATGCATAATATACACAGCAAATGTCTAGGGCCTCTCATTTTTTACAAATCTTTGTAAGAAAAGGCTATCTATTAACCCAATGACATTGTCATAACCTTTTCTAAATTTCAATGATATTCAGTTTCTCGCAGCTATTACATTACAAAGTATACCTCAGTAAAAATCTAGTAAGTCATAGGGCTGATGTTGCTGATTGCTCACTTGCTCAAGCCAGAAGCTTAGAATACATGCTTGATTCTTCACTTTCCTGTGGGTTTATGCCAAATCAATTTCAAATCTATAGATCTTATCCTCTAAATAACATACAGCATGCCTACTTTTTTCTCTCTCTCGACTACTGTCACATTAATTCAAAAGAAAAAGACTGATGATTCCTAACTTCCTGGCTTCAGTAATTGGCAACGATGACATCACTACTAAGGCTTCACTTCTCACCTCTGCTTCCATATGAGTGTAATGTTATTTTCTCCTATGACAGATAAGTTTATTTTTCACCATTAAAAGGTAAGAAACTCACTCATAACCAAAGTTGGAGGAGACAGTTATTTTTTTTCCCCAGCTTGCCTGTTAAAACCATAAGGAATGATTAATCTGCCATGGTGCTTGATGTGGCCCAGGGATGTGCTCAGACTCAGTCATGTAGGGGCAGGTGGTATTAACATTAGTTCAAACATGGAACCATGGCATGTGTTAGAAATAATGGCTTATATTAGAAACTGGACATAAAATTGTCGTGAGCAAGAAAGTTACCTCAATTTGAGTCTACTAGAAGTTTCAGAGTGCCATTTCACATGGCCACAAAGTTCAAAAGTTCCAAAAGAAGCAAAAGTTTGACCAAGAAATCAGTGATTTTTTAAAAAAGAGAAATTGAGCTCAATCATGTTTTTTATATCTTCTACTGTACTAAAAGTTTTTTTCTCAATAATTGACTAAAAGTTCATTAACTACTGCACAGACTTCAATATTTAGAAATGTAATACGGGCTTGCTAACTAAAAGTGAAGTTATTTTATTGTCGGAACTAGCTATTGTTAGAAAGACTCATTTGCTTTTTATAATACAATTTTACATATGATTTATAGATTGACAGATTATAACAATTTATAGATTATTACCTCATTAATTTATTGAATAACCTGACTAAATTACTTAGTCACTGAATTAAATACAACCCAGCCTTAATACTTTGGGTCAAGGAACATTGACCAAATATGTATTTATGCCACAGATTCCTTGAAATTTCTTACCAAAGTAAATTGTTTCATGAAAAATACAGAAATAAATTGGTAACTAAATAAAACATGTTCTATATTTCAACTTGAAAAATTAAAGAAATTAATAATTCTTAAAATCAAAGCAATGATCATTTGTTTCCTAATTATTATTATTGTGAATGTACTTAAAATTTTTGCTATGCTTTTAAGAAAGATGTACTTCTATTAAAAATTATTAAAATAAACAGCAGAGAGACTGACTTTTCAAAATAGTTTATCTGGGAAGAGCAATGAACTGCAATTTGGGATATGTGTACCGTACTGAACCATAGGCACATTTGAAAAAGCTGGGGGAGCCGAAGCTTTTTTAAGGGTAAAAGGTGAAGTTCCCCATCAAACTACCGTTGGCATTCTTCACAGAATTAGAAAAACCTATTTGAAATTTCATATGGAATCAAAGAAGACCCCATATAGCCAAGACAATCCTAAGCATAAAGAACAAAACTGGAGGCATCACACTACCTGACTTCATTACTGCAGGGCCTCAGTAACCAAAACAGCATGGAACTGGTACCAAAACACACATATAGACCAATGAAGGTGAACATAGACCTCAGAAATACACCACACGTCTACAACCACCTGATCTTCAACAAACCTGACAAAAACAAGCAATGGGAAAGGATCTCATATTCAGTAATAATGTGGGAAATCTGGCTAGCCATATGCAGGAAACTGAAACTGGACCCCTTCCTTACACCTTATACAAAAATTAACTCAAGATGGATTAAAGACTTAAATGTAAAACCCCAAACCATAAAAACCCTAGAAGAAAACCTAGGCAACAACATTCAGGACATAGGCATGGTGGGCAAAGACTTCATGACAAAAATGCCAAAAGCAATTGCAACAAAAGCCAAAATTGACAATGGGATCTAATTAAACTAAAGAGCTTCTGCACAGCAAAAAAAAAAAAAAAAAAAAAAAAAAACTATCATCAAAGTGAACAAGCAACCTACAGACTGGGAAAAAATTTTTGCAATCTACCCATCTGACAATGATCGAATATCCAGAATTTACAAGGGACTTAAACATGCTTACAAGAAAAAGACAAACAACGCTATCAAAAAGTGGGCAAAGGATATGAACAGACACGTCTCAAAAAAAGACATTTACGTGGCCAAAAAACATACAAAAGAAGCTCAACATCACTGATCACCAGAGAAATGCAAATCAAAACCACAATGAGATGCCATTTCACGCCAATTAGAATGGAGATTATTAAAAAGTCAGGAAACAATAAATACTGGAGAGGATGTGGAGAAATGGGAATGCTCTTACACTGTTGGTGGGAAAGTGAATTAATTCAACCATTGTGGAAGACAGTATGGGCATTCCTCAAGGATCTAGAACTAGAAATACCTTTTGACCCAGCAATCCCATTACTAGGTATATACCCAAAGGAATATAAATCATTCTACTGTAAGGGAACATACGTATATATATTTATTGCAGCACTATTTACAATAGCAAAGACATGGACCCAACCCAAATGCCCATCACTGATAGACTGGATAAAGAAAATGTGGTACACATACACCATGGAATACTACGCAGCTATAAAAAAGGAATGAGAGCATGTCCTTTGCAGAAACATGGATGAAACTGGAAGCCGTCATCCTCAGCAAACTAACACAGGAACAGAAAACCAAATACCGCATGTTCTTATTCGTAAGTGGGATTCGAACATTGAGAACAAATGGACACAGAGAAGGAAACAACACACGCTGGGGCCTGTTGGAGGTTGGGGGGTGAGGGGAGGGAACTTAGATGATAGGTTGAAAAGTGTAGCAAACCACCATGGCATACGTATACCTATGTAACAAACCTGCACGTTCTGCACATATATCACTTTTGTTTGTTTTTTGAAGAAGAAGAAGAAATAAAGAAAAAAAAAGGTGAAGTTCATGTAAATTATTTTAAAATAAACCTCTTTGGCCCCAGAAGCTTATTGCTTGGTATGGACAAATACTCATCGGTGATACTGGCTATTGCTGGGAAGATGTCTTCATAGAAGCGTCGTATCTAAAATTTTTGTAGTTTTCAGGGAGTCCTTGCAATAATTCTTTTAGAGACATCCATGCATGAAGGGCCTTCTTTTATACTCTCCCAGCTCCATTTTGTTGTGGTTTGACTTCAGTGAGTCAACTTCTTTGCTTGTAACTTTAACATTTCCCCCCTTTGACCAAGAATTTTTTCTGAAAGCATTGCTGATTAATCAGCCTATAGTTAGGTTTTGATTGTTTCTTGGTGCTGGAGTGGACCTTTCCTAGTCAGTCTGATCCTGCATCAGAGGTGAATGGCCAGCAACTAAGAGCAGATGTCAAAACCCTATTAGTCACATTTAAGAAACAAAGAGGTTCAGAAGGAGTGGCTCTCAGGATAAATCTGCCTGGAGTTCATTGCTAAGTTCAATTTTGTCAGTTCCATAGGCATTGACTACCATTTGGAAGTTCTGGACCAGTGTTACTCTGTTAGATGCATCATTTCTGCAGAGGTTGGACAGGAAACAGATAAAAAGTTTAAAAAGAATGATGCGGTACAAAATTAATAGTAACATGAAATATTGTCTATGAACATGGACCCAAAGGCAGCCAACTAATGAATCAAAAGTCTATGTGAGACTGAGTGAGATCTGTTGTAGCCATAAAGCCTGTCTTGCTATTTTATGCAATTAGGTCTTGACTTCCCCAGAGAAATATATTCAGGTACAGCATGTAGTTATTAGCAATGGCACAGACATTCTTGTTCAACCAGTAGATAATTGAGAGTTATCTCATCCTGTCCTGTTGTGTTATCTACGGCTACTCAGCAAGATACTTTAATGAGCACTGCTGGGCGGCAATAGCCTTTGCGGTGAAGCCTGCAACGAAACCCAAGGTGGCAAATAAATTAGGGATGTTGCCATAGTTACCCACTGGGTGGACTAAAGGATCCCTTAGGTCATGTAAAGATGTGGGTTTGACACGACAGATCCAAAACTTCATTCAGTTACGGAAGCTACTGAATGTGAAATTCTAACCACAGCGTTATTCTGCCAAGTGAAAAATGTAGGCATAAGCAAGAAAAAAAAAAATAAGAAGGATAAGAGTCCAGTTTTGTTACAATGTCTTGGGAAAAGCTTTCCACACTGTGATGTCATCAACTTCTTACTCTGGTTTGTAGTTTGAATGTTCCTGGGTATAGCATGGGGCATTTTAGTCAATTCTCTTTGTAGCCCACACAATAGCCATGAGATTTCTCTCTTGAAATTTACATGGAGTTTTCTGGCTCCAACTTGTAGGACTTTAGGAACAAGGCAGTTTATGTTCTTAGTTGGAGAATCATAGCCAGACGTTGGAGGAAATTAGAATAATTAAGTGCCCTGTCTAATTTAGAGATAGATGACAAAAACTTGAAAACAACAAAGAAAACTACAATCTACTAACAGGTGTACTGCAGTTTTTCTTCAGAAACATAATTTTTCTCTGTACAATCATCCCTATTTCTACTAAAGATAATCAGAGTAAGACTAATTTGTCTGCTGAATAAGTTTAGTCTCATTAAACTTGGCATGATTATTGACAACAGTATAGCAAGAAAAGGGATGAAACATGGGCTGTTTTTAAGTTTATTTTGATGGAACTTTTGATAAGAAATCTCAGATTAGACTTTTAAAAGCCTTTCAAGGGTCAGAAGTCAAAGGAGGGCGAACATCAGACTTTGGCTGCAGTATCTAAAAATCTGCATGAATTTCTCTCTTCTTGAGGTCTCCAATATATCTGGAGGTTCCTGGCCTGTCAAGAGGTAAAAATGTTTATTCACTCACTGTGAGCTTGGGAATCCTTGAAGCTAGGCATCCTGTGCATAGTCTCAAATATCACATTCAAGTCAAACCATTTATAATATAACCAATGTTTGTAATTCTATCCTGTTACAAAGAGAATAGATTTTTATTGAATTAATGCAAATAACTATGTTGCCATAAAATAAAAATATCAATAAGAGCTCTCTGAAGACTGCAGCCGCAGGTAGGAAGAAAAAATAAATATTTCCATTTTTATTTATAAAAGTATACTTTACCAAATTGCTGTATGCTATAGATAGCTTTTTAAAAGTTTTCTCAAATCTGGAAAACAAAAAATTTAAAAAAAACAGCAAAATGTTAAACAAAAAGTCACTCGAAAATATTGCCATCAGTTTGTTTAGTCCCATTCATTAAACTTATTCTACTTGATCTGGGTTAGATGTTTTAAGAAGCCATCGTTTCTTCATTAGAGTCCTGGAAATTCTTTCCCAGTCCAGTGGTATAATCTTAAACTCATAAGAAATCTAAATTCCAGCATACTTGTTAGAGTCCTTTTCATGAACCTCCTTGAAGAGGAAGTATTTTTCTTTATTCATTTTAATTTATTCTCTACAATACTTCATTAGGGAGTTCAATGATTTGCACTCAGAAGTTAAATAGCCAAGAGGCAAGCAAGTATAATAAACTTCAGAATTGGACTGAGGTTGTTGCACTGAAGGCCATGTAGTCTTTTGCTTCAGGGAAATAACAACAAAAATAACCAAAATGAACACATAGCTCCCTAGGCTTCTGAATCTCAGTAGAGAATAACATCAACATTTAATGAAATTGTAGATATTAACACATCATGGGAAAAAAGATACTGTGCAAAATATTATAATTAACACTTGGCACTTCTTATGTCTAGATTTTTATTATAAACAATAAAATATATGTAATATCTTAACTACAGACCTTTCATGTTGAAAGGGCATCTAACATAACTTGTTTTAACATTATGAAGGGAAAAAGTTTAGAAATTTCAAAGTGGAAACAATCCAACACTAACAAACTATAGTGATCAAAAGTATTAACTTTTAAAGAAAAACAAGGACAATTCATAAAAGTAGAACTACCATTTGATCCAGCAATCTTACTGGTTATCTACCCAGAGGAAAAGAAGTCATTACACAAAAAAGATACTTGCACATGCACGTTTATAACAGCACAATTAGCAATTGCAAAAATGTGGAACCAGCCTAAATGCCCGTGAATCAATGAGTGAATAAACTGTGGTATATATTTATGTGTGTGTGTGTGTGTGTGTGTGTGTGTATGTATATGTATATATATATGCATATGTATATATATATATATGCATAAATACATATATGTAATGGAATACTATTCAGCCATAAAAAGGAATGAATTAATGGCATTCATAATAACCTGGATGGGATTGGAGACTATTATTCTAAGTGAAGTATCTCAGGAATGGAAAACCAAACATTGCATGTTCTCACTCTTAAGTGGGAGCTAAGCTATGCAGATGCAAAGGCATAAGAATGATACAGTGGACTTTGGGGACTCAAGGGAAAGAGTGGGAAAGGCATGAGGGGTAAAAGACTACAAATTGAGTTCAGTGTATACTGCTCGGGTGATGTGTGCACCAAAATCTCACAAATCACCACTAAAGAACTTACTCATGTAACCAAATACCTCATGTTCTCCAAAAACCTATGGAAATAAAAAATTTAAAAAATTACAGAAAGGGAATGTATTATGAGACAAGCCACGTTTATAGACCAAAGCATGCTCATAGCTAGGGATGAAACAAACCACAAACCAAGCCAGCAAAGTTGGGTTGATTCCTTGAAAAGAATGGTTACCTATTGTCCAGATTGAGTAGCCCAAAGACAGAGGAAACACTGAGCGTAAAACATTCCCTTTTTTTTAAACCTACCACTCACACCACATGCACTGATCACTCTCATCACTGCTTTGGTAAAGCATGTAGGATGCAGTTCAGTTTCAATTTGGAGCTGTTACCTCCCCAGGCAAAGCTGCCACACAGATGATCCAGGCTTGGTGTTTTTCCTGAGAGCCACCTGCCACACATTTTCATAAGGTGACCATGACTATGCACATCCAGGCTACTTCCTGACTAGGCCCTGTTCAGGAAGCATCCTGAGGTGTCCATTCCTCGTGGAGCCAAATAGTTCCCTTGGTTGACTCCTGAGTCCCCTTGGCAAGCCAAGCAGAATTCAAGCATTTCTACTGCTAGCCTTGTGTGGGAGCATGAGCGAATGTAAAGGGAGCAAGGCTCTTCAGTCCATAAACCACAGCCTACTTCGGGGTGGTGCTGGACCAGCCCTATTCTTGGGTACTGAATTTCTTTTTCTCATTTGTTGGGATTTTAAATTTTCTATTTATTTTCTTAAATGGCAGGTATCCTACTGCATCTTCAATAAAATAAAATATATACATATATATGTTGTACACTGGAGAAAACAAATAGGGGAACAGTTTGATAGTTTAGCCCCATTTTTTGCTTTTATTTAACCTTTAGAAGAAAACACAATTATTAAAACAGAATGCTTGAGCAGTAATAAGCGTAGCCCTATGTATCAATATTATTGTACAAATTGGATGTGGGTGCTTAACCCAGAGCTGACCACCCTGATAATAATCCAGAAAAAAACCATTGTTACATCTGTTTGTAACAAGACATTTATTATTCTCAGCACCAGGACATCATAAAATGACTCCTTGATCTTCATTTACTTCACCAAGGGAAACGTGGCAGGCTACAGAAACTCAGCACAGCAGTTAGTGGGGCTGTGCCCTGGGTGCCCTGATGTCACCCACATTTCCCTTGCATGTCTCAGGTCCTAATAAGCAGTGCAGGACAATGTTGAGCCAACCTACTCACCCGTGCCCATTCCTTCCCAGAAACTTAAAGGTGATCCCTATAATAGCACATATGTCCTTTCCCAAATTGTGTCTTTGCTCCCCTAACCCCATTCTTGGCAGAAGAAAAAACAAAACATCTCTTGACTTGAATATTTGCTTATTTTAGAAACCGACACAATCACCATAAACTTAAAAAAAAAATAAATCAAAATGTTGTTTTCACTGGGTTGACAGCTATCTGCTTCAAGAATTCTCTAAGCATGTTGTTGAAAACCAGTGTAACATCTTTAGGATCTTTCTCCCAACTGACCAGTCTTCCTGTGAATCATTTCAGCAGTTCCTTTGTGGCAATGTTTACAAAGCATCTTCTAAGTCCTCTAATTCTATGAGCTTTGCTATCAAAATAGTGAAGAATAGGAAAGGGGGAGGAAAAAACTAGCTGACAGCTGTTTGGAAATCAGCAACAATGTGAAAGAGAAATGTATCTCATGAAAGTTTGAAAGACATGGAATAAATGAGCTCTTTGGAAATTTGCCCTGGCGGAGTGAAGATTCCCACTTTATCTTCTTAGGCAAGATAAAGATCCACCTTATGTAATTACACAGCTTTGTTTAAGCATCCTGTAAAAGACTGAAAAATCAACTGTCTTCCTAACTCTACAGGCAAACTAGAAAAAGGATCTCCCTGCTTACTGGTCCCTCAGGATGTTTTCCTGAAAAGAAAACCAGCTTAGAGATACTGGATTTTCTTCTATGACAAAGTGTCCTCTTAAAGTCCAACCGAAACTTGTTTGCACACTTACACTTCTGAAAGCCTAGGTCCGACTATAGGGCTGATACCGGGAGAGAAGTGAAGTAGCTGGGTGGTGAGGAAGTGGTCTCTCCTTTCACATCTCTGTGCAGTCATGATATCAAGACCCCTTGTGGACATCTCTATTCCATTCCTCAGTCAGTGACACCACAGAGCTCTGTTTGATACCGGGAGACTTAATGCAGTAAAAGTGACAGAAAGTGCAACTGATAGTAGGATGAAAATTATAATCTTCAAGGATTATTGAGCCATGAGATCTGCAATGCTATCGTAGGGTTTCTGATCCTGATGTGGGTCTCTGTCCAGGATCCTTGAAGAAATTATGGCACCCACATCCAACCCTAACATAGCTTCCACTTATGAAACAAGGAGGTTGTAATCAACTCTTGGTATGTAATAAACTGGAAGTTCAAAAATGTAATTTAAAACAATCTAAAAGAATGTAATGTTGGTCTCCATTGCACAGACTGCTAGGGGAATATATCAACTTGATTTGGGGAGGCTGTAGAGGTATATAGAGGAGTATATGGGTTAAACCTTAATGGACCATCAGTTTCAGAGAAGAAGCAATTTTTTATTGTAGCTGATGGCAAATGCTTTTAGAAAAGAATGAAAGCAGTCGGTCCCTGTGGATGACAGACTTAGAGCGGCCATGGTTAAAAATCTCATGGAGTTTATTATAATAATAATGTAATTGACAAAGAAATTTGTTTATTTCTGTGGCATACAAAACTTGAAGATAATAACCAAGATTATGACCGATAACATATCAGATTTTGAAGAATTTATTTTGTAACACATATCAATAACATTCTGAAATACAACTTAAAGAAGGTTTAGCACCACTTAGTATTTGACAATACTCCCTATATAATTTAATATATCAAGTAAGTCTCATTAGTTTAATATATCTCTTTACAATGTGAGATACACATTCTTTGATCTTTCCAGGGGTCCAAATGAGAAATATCAAAATTAACTTGAGGGCAAAAAGAGTTAATTTAAAATATTATTTTGGGAAGTTTGTCAAAAACATCAAACAGTTTAAAACACTTTATCAGAGTACGATAACAGGTAACCAAAATGAAAATTAAAAGATTTCAAAAAATAAATGTAGAAATTTACATAATTGTCAACAAAAACATAGCTTTTTAATACTGAGAACATTTACTTTTCTCTTTTTTTAACTTTTATTTTAGGTTCAGGGTACACATGTGGGTTACTTACGCATTTATATAGGTAAATTGTGTGTCACGGGGTTTGGTGTGTAGATTATTTCATAACCCAGATAATAAGCATAGTACCCAGTAGGTAATTTTTAAATTTTCATCCTCCTTCCTCCCTCCACTCTAAAGTAGGCCCAGTGTCTGTTGTTCCATTTGTGTCCATATGTACTCAATGTTTAGCTCCCCTTATAAGTGAGAACATATGGTATTGGGTTTTCTAGGATAATGGCCTCCAGCTCCACTCATGTTGCTGGAAAAGAGATGATCTCATTCTTTTTATGGCTGCATAGTATTCCATGTTGTATATCTACCACATTTCTTCATCCAGTCTACCACTGATGGGCATTTAGGTTGATTCCATGTCTTTGCTATTGTGAAAAGTGCTGCAATGAACACACACGTGCATGTGTCTTTATGGTAGAATGATTTGTATTTCTTTTGGTATATACTCAACAGTAGGATTGATGAGTTGAATGGCACTTCTGCTTTGAGTTCTTTGAGAAATGGCCACACTGCTTTCCACAATGGCTGAACTACCTTACATTCCCACCATCACTGTATAATCATTCCCTTTTCTCCACAACCTCACTAGCATCTCTTATTTTTTGAGTTTTTAATAATAGCCATTCTCATTGGTGTGAGATGGTATCTCATTGTGGTTTTGATTTGCATTTCTCTAATGATTAGTGATGTTGAGCATTTTGTCATATGCTTTCTGGCCACATGTATGCCCTCCTTTGAAAGTGTCCGTTCATGTACTTTGTGTACGTTTAAATGGGATTGTTTGTTTTTCACTTGTTGATTTTTTTAAGTTCACCAGATGCACTGTGCTGGGGTTCTGTGATAGTCCCTAATTGCTGTGCACCCTCCCAAGCCTGAGAGCAGCAGGAGGGAGGGTTGCGAGACAGCAAAAAGGTGGACTGCCTCTCTCTTTGGGAGCTGCATGCCGGAGAAGTGTAGAGCTGCTCCCAGCTGGAGAACTCAGGAGGACTAGGGTGGCCTCACTAGCATCCCAGGCTAGTGGGCCTTATCCTACAAGGTTCAGTGGTGGTGAGGTCTGCAGTCTATCACTGCTCAGCCCCATGGACTTGGCCCCTTTTCTGGGGAGCGTGCAAGAAAACTTGGCCTTCCCAATTGCTGGAGCTGCAGCCCCTGGTTTTGGGGTACCCAGGGAACAAATGCTACTGGGACTCCACACCTACCTAAGAAGCAGCTCTACCCAGACTCCACATGGCTCTCTGTTTTGGTCTGGAGACCCCAGCTGGGGTATCTCCTGAGCCCAGGGATTCAAAGGTTCGTGGCAGAAATATGCATCCCACGGGACTCTCACTCACTCACCATTTTCTTGTAGGGGGATTCCCCTGGGTCTGTGCCACTCCTGGGTGAATGGTTGATCTGTCTCACTCTTCTCCGTGATCCGAAGGTCACACTATGTCACTGATGAATCCTTATGTGTCCACCTGGATGTTCCGGTTGAAGAGCTAGTGTCTCACCACTCTTCCTGCTATTTGTGAGAGTGGCACACACTAGCTGCTTCTAGTCAACCATCTTGGCCCCACCTCACTCACTTTTCTCAAGTAATCAAAGACCTAGTAAAAGAGAGCATAAAGCATAAGAAATTACCTTGATAAACAAAAAATCTTGGTTTATTAGGCCAGTTATCTAAAAGGTAGAGAAAACATTTCACTATTGTCTATTAAGAGCAGGTCAATACTCAAAGAAAAGCTTGTTGTTTCAGCACAGGGGACAAATTTCAAGTTTTCCATTCCTGTACTTTTGATAATAATGCTCAAGTTTTCAGAATATTTATAAATAATTTCCTTTTAACTTTAGCCAACTTGGTCACACATAAAATTCTTTTCACAAGATTAATCTTCCACAAACTTTCTATAAATTTGTCATCCAGTTATCTTATTCAGTTTTTGTCTATATTTTTTCTCTTTTTCTTTTTGGAACAGTAAGACATTCTACTTTTAGACAAAAAATACTCTCTTTTTCCCTTAACAAAAACACAACCTCTTACTTATAACTTTCTGTATGTGTTTTCCTTCCCTCACGTACAGATTTGTTTCCCTTCATTATTTCTAGTTTAAATTACTCTAATATTAATTTTAATTAACTCTTAGTAACCTTAATTTCTAGTGAAAATTAGTAAGCATTTTGAAGTGCATCATGTTAGTATTTTGCAGATGAACACCATCTCATAAAATAATTTTTATGCCTTTAATTAACAGGCCCAAATATGTTTAGCTTTTCCATAACATGTGAAACCAAGATGCCAAATTACGTATATTTTAAACTTCTGTTAAGCAATTGATATTTCAGTATTTTCCTTAGAAATGACTCAAATATTAAATCAGTAAAGTGTTACTTAATTTAATATAACATGATTTTAAGATTTCAAGTCACACTAAATTATTTTTGAAATTCTGACAACTTTATTATCAACCTTTTGTCAATTTATATTCACCTAATTCACTTGTTCTTAACAATTGTGCTTCAGTTCCTCCTTAAACACAAGGATGAGTGGATTTATAGCTTTAAGACATTCATTATACATCTCAGTAATAGCAAGCTTGTTTCACCAGTAACTTTAGGTTTAAAAACTGTATCTGTACATTGTAATTAATGCTGACAATTCTGAAAATATTTGTTTTTATTTTGCCAACAAATTTTAAAACTAGCTTTGTCTGCCAAAGATTATTTCATCACATAAGCCAAAAGGCAATTGAGTTTCTGTTTTTCTGAGAGAATTCTTAGTTTAAACACTTATGTTTTCTCTGTAAGCCAATTAAGTAGAGCCGTTTATGAATTTTGGTAGAAAAAATTGTACATACGCACACACACACACACACACGTAGAAAAATACAGACAGAGGAAGAACTTACAACTTGCATTAAGAATTGTTATTTGCCTGGCTTGCAAGTAGTTTTACTCCCTCTTTCAGACTATCTGTCTTTTAATGATCTGTTCAATTGGCCCATAAACAAGTGTTAGTTAGGCCACCCAAAATTTGTACTTCCAAAGAGATGATTTTTAGGTGAAGGAATGTAGAAAATTTAAATCTCAAAGGTACAGAACTTAAACACCACTATTTGTTGAGATGAAAAAAAGCATATATAGGAAGCCTTCAAAATGAAATGGTCAAGGGTGAGTTTACACAGATAGATAGATTTAGGTCTCTTCCTTTTGCTTTGTGAAAGCATCTAGTGTTTTAGGTGTCAGAGAGGGAGATATCCTTACAAAGCAGAGATTATCATTACAGGTTTACATTTCTTACAAAGAGTTTCAAAATAAACAGGTAAATGCCAAAAACGTATATTTTGGAGACGGATTAATTCACTAGTTGGTCTATTCAACTTAACTTGTTTCCTAATGAGATTAAATTCATGCACAAATAACCAAACCAAAAATTAAACCAAAAGAATACTCACCAGAAAGGATGTCCTTTACAAGAGCAGATCCCCCAAAATGTAAGAGTTCACTGAAAAGGTGGGAGCTCAAACCAAGAGAGGACTTATCTCGCAGCATAAAGACAACTTGTACAAGTGAAGATCACAATAGGCTCAGGTGAGTATCATACACAATTTCAAGTATCGCCAGATACTTGAAAGCCTTCCAAAGGCTTTCTTTGTTACTGTTTGGATAACAGTGCTGTAACTGTAAGTAACAAAGAAGGCTTGGAGCCTTTGCATCTTGCTTCTGACATTAGATTATGTCAACTTAAACAACAGAGATACTGACTCTCTAAAATAAAGAGTGTATTCAGGAAATAGCAGTAAATTGCAATTTGAAATACACATGCTATGGTGGACCTTAGGCACCAAAGAAGCTGAGGGACTGTATTAGTTTGTTCTAGCACAAAGAACTACCTGAGACTTGGTAATTTATAAAGAAAAGAGGTTTAATTGACTCATGATTTCATAGGCTGTACAGGAAACATGATTGGAGGAGGCCTCAGGAAACTTACAATGATGGCAGAAGGCAAAAAGGAAGGAGGCACGTCTTACATGGCCGAAGCAGGGGGAAGAGGGCAAAGGGGAAATACCACACACTTTTCAACAAGCAGGTCTCATGAGAACTCACTATCACAAGAACAGCAAGGAGGAAATCCACCCCCATGATCCAATCGCCTCTCACCAAGCCCCTCCTCCAACATTGGGGATTACAATTCGACATGAGATTTGGGTGGGGACACAAATCTAAACCATATCAGGAAGGCAAAAATCTTAAAAGAGAAATTTTATGTAAGTTTTGTAATAAACCTCATGGGCCAGAGAAGCTTGTTACAAGAGTTGGCAAATACTCATTGATAATATTGGCTGTTGCTGGAGAGATGTCTTCATAGAATTATCATATCTAACATTTTCGTGGTTTTTGAGAGAACCATTGCAGCAGTTCTTATTATAGACATATGTACATGAAGGCCCCTCTTTCATGGCCTCCCAGCTTCATTTTTTTATGGTTTGATGTAAGTGACTCCATTTTGGTGCTCACAACTTCCACATTTCTCCCTTTTGGTTGAAATATTTTTCTGAAAGCATTTCACACTTAAAAGATATAGATTGGCCGGGCATGCTGGTTCATACCCGTAATCCCAGCACGTTAGGAGGCGGAGGTGGGTGGATCACCTGAGGTTGGGAGTTCGAGACCAGCCTGACAAACATGGAGAAACCCCATTTCTACCAAAAATACAAAATTAGCTGGGCGTGGTGGCACGTGCCTGTAATCCCAGCTACTCAGGAGGCTGAGGCAGGAGAATCACTTGAATCCAAGAGGCAGAGGTTGCAGTGAGCTGAGATCACGCCATTGCACTCCAGCTTGGGCAACAAGAACGAAACTCCATCTCAAAAAACAAAAACAAAAACAAACCAACAAAAAATGAAATAATTGTAAAAACCAACTATAGTTCTCAGTAATGATAGTTTCATTACCGTCAGCTATTAGTAGAGTTAATTAACTCCTATCAACCTCACATTTTCCATTTAAAAAATGCAGGAGAAAAAGTTTGATGTGGGTTTAATGAGAAAATTTATATAAAATAGATCTAACTACTATATTTATCACAAAACAGATGCACAAACTATGTTTTTTTCCTCTCACTTGTTCTTATTTTATATATCATTTTAATTGAGGAAATCATTGAGCATAATGTAACAAATATTTTCATAAGTTATTATAAAGAGGGTTGAAGGACTTGTTAGAAAGTGTCTGGCAGTGGAAAAAACATCTGAATAGAAAATGAAAATAGCATGTGAATGCTGAAATAGCGTATTAAATAGCTGCAACTCTAATATAATTTACATTTGGATTTTAGTATAGACAGAATACTTAAATTTATTTCTGCAGTCTTTTCAGTTGTTAAACATTTTATTGAACTCTTCATGTGCCTTTCAGATGTATTGTGCTTCAAGTGTGCTTGTACCAGCTTTTTCTGTTTAGAAATGCTTGAGTGTCTCCATTGTCAAAACGATCAGAAGGCAGTAATTGTATTTCCAATGTGAGGACAAACAATACTAGATATCCTGCGATCCTACATTGTAAAAAATATTCCCATCAAATGCCCCAATGGATAGCCACGTAAGTGATCATCTGTAATTATTTAGTCAAGAAATGAATATTTTACATGTAAATACTTTGAATGGCTTAATACAAACTAAATTTTTCAGAATGCAACCACTATGGAAATTGAAGAGAAAAAGTCTTTTTATTGTAGAAACTTCCCAGAGTCTTTCAATATTTACAAAAATTATGTTGCCAATGGCAATACCTTAGTTATTTGAATCACCAGTAGAACACACTATAAAAACATGCATTGTCACATCTGTACCCTGTCACATCCAGGATAACGATAATATTGAGATATATAACTATTTAGCCCTTATTTTAAAACATCAGGTAACAAGCATCAATCAATTTCTATCAAATGTTTCAACTTGGGTATTACAGCATAAGCAGAAATATACTGTTACCAATATCCCAGCCAATTTCTTTTCCTAATGAAACAATAAAACTGAGAATATAGAGACCATTTAGTAAAGCTGATATATATATATATATGTTTGCATATGTGTGTGTGTGTATATATACATATAAATGTAATTAATACAGTAGGTGAGGTCAAAGAAGCAAGTGATACACAACTTTTAATTTGGATGGGATGTCCTTGAAGATTCCTGTATTAGTCCTTTCTCACATTCCTATATGAAAATACCTGAGACTGAGTAATTTATTAAAGAAAGAGGTTTAATTGACTCACAGTTCCCTATGACTGGGGAGGCCTCAGGAAACTTACAATCGTAGTGGAAGGTGAAAGGGAGGCAGGCACTTTCTTCACAAAATGGCAGGAAAAAGAAGGATGGAAGGAGGAACTTGCCGAACAGTTGTAAAACCATTAGATCTCGAGAGAACTCACTCACTGTCATGAGAACAGCTTGGGAGAAACCACCTCCATGATTCAATTACCTCCACCTGGTCTCTCCCTTGACATGTGGGGATTATGGGGTTTACAATTCACCATGAGATTTTGAGTGGGGACACACAGCCAAACCATATCAACTCCTAAATCTTAATACACTTTATTACTAGCTGATATGATTTGGATCTGTGTCCCTTACCAAATCTCATGCTGAATTGTAATCCCCAATGTTGGAGGTGGGGTCTTGTGGGAGGTGATTGGATCATGGGGGCAGATTTCCCCCTTTGATGCTGTATCATGATAGCATCCTCATGAGATATGGTTGGTGAAAGTGTGTGGCACCTTTTCTCTTCCTCTCAGTCCTGCTTCTGCCTTGCAAGATTCGTGCTTCCACTTTGCCTTCTGCCATGAGTAAAATCTCCCTTTCGCCTCCCCAGAAGCAGATGCTGCTATGCTTCCTGTTCAGCCTGCAGAACTGTGAGCCAATTAAACTTCTTTGCTTTATAAATTACCCCATATCAAGTGTTTCTTTATAGCAGCAGTGTGAGAACAAGCTAATACACTAGCCTTCTTGAATACATCTTAGCAAGCTCTCGAGCAGCGTAACCACATAGATTAGAGAAGGCCAAAACTGACAGATTCCCATCTTGACCAAAGTTTAATCATTCTTCTCCAGTCCCTCTTCTCAGGCCCAGTTTAACAAAGACGCCTGCTAAGCCAGTTCACTGAGAATCACTTCGCCCTGGATATCTTATCACTTTGGCATGCCTTTAGCAATAATGCAGTTTAGCAAGAACCCCGCTCCCCGCCACCCCACCCCCCGCCACCCTTAATATCTAATTAGTTTCTATCCACTGACTCACTCCCTCAGCTCTTTGCTTATAAATTTCCAGCTCCATGCTGGGAGAAATTTTAGTTCAATCTCTCTCTACTATAGCTATATTATTCCCCCATTGCTATAGTCCTGAATAGTCTTCCTTGCTATTTTTAACAAGCATCTAGTGTACACATTTCCTTTTGACAAAACATAGTGTCCATATGTAGAGGGAAGAGGAAAGCTAACAAAATATAAAGTCATCCAAACCACACACACCTTGGACAAGCTTATCATGTGTGGGAATAAAATGCTGGAGGTGGGTTTGGCTTCCCCCCCAAAAAAAGTGTGTAATTTGAAATTTCATATCAAGAACAGTTAAATTCCCAGATTCTTTATCATTACTGAATACCTTAGTAATTATTCTTCATTTAACACAACAGGAAATAGGAGATTTATTTTCTGGAGAGACTTGTCCAATTAAAGTGGGGATATGGTTGCTCCGTTGAGCAGAAATTTGGCTTATATAGACCCAAAGCTCAGAAAAAGAGTTATAGATCTAAAATGACAATCATTGAGACAATAAAGTTCATGGAAACCACGATGGGAAGCATCTACGTGGAAATAAAAAGTTGGATTTTCAGTAGAGAAATTGGTAACAATGTAAATTTCCTCTTAATGTCAGGTGAGAACTAATTCTGAAGTCAGAGGAGGAAAGTAGCCTACAACAAAGAGTAAGATCATCTTGACAGGATCAGGGAGAAAGATAATAGTTGCAAATGGAGACAGGTATATTGATTTAGTGCCAGGTAGTTGAAAGACTATGAGTATAAAGACTTATATTTTCTCTGTGTTGCAGTAGCAAAGTCATCTGCAGAGAGAGAGAAGTGAGAAGGGAGAAGAGAGTGTCAGAAATTAGAGGATTGTAGAGATTGAAAAAGTTATGTCAGGCACAATTGAAAACCCGGTTTCCAATGGTGATCATCGTCTTAAAATATTATCAGTTTGTTTTCTTGCATGACATTCTTCAGCAGCAGTCATGGACTGAGAAATATGCAGAAATCAGATAGTTGAGTTCATCTAGAGAAGAGGTTGCAATGTGCTTCTAAAAAGGACAAAACCAAAAGCAACCGAGAGAGAGAAAGAGAGAGAGAGAGAGAGAAAAATGAAGATGTGAAAGGGGATAGGTCAAAACTCAGTAATTTTTTTTAAGCAAAGGGCCAGATAGTAAATATTTTTATTTTGTGAGCCATATTGTCTCTGTAGGAAGTACTCAGTTCTCCCATGTTCTGCAAAAGCAACCATGGACAATAAGAAAATGTGGCTGCGTTCCAATAAGAATTTATTTAAAAAATAGGAGATGGATTGTATTTAGCCCAAGGGAAGCAGTATGTCAATTCTGGTTTTATGTTACTGGCAATTACATTTTAAAATATTCAGTAATTGAATCTACAATATCGATTCCCAACTATTGCTGCATATTAGTATCATAATAGAATGCCAGGTCCCAGAGACACTGGGTCAGCCAATCTCAATTGGGGCCAAGGCACTCATATGTATCTTTGGAACCTCCTCAGGCAATTCTAACATAAAGCCAGTGTTGAGAAGAGCCATTGTTAGTTTGCTTGTGGGAGTAACTGACCGCAGGAGGATCATAATGCTATAGGCAAAGGCTGAGGCACCAGTGGATTGAAAGTCTTAGTGAGGCAGGAGAACAGCTGCAGTGGGAATTGTTGCCACACTGAACAGACAGGAGATTGATCAAAGAGTGGTGTGCTTATTTAGTCATTTAAGAGGAATATCATGTTTTGTCATTATACATTTCATGGGTTTGGTAAGCAGCCTCTAAAATTGCTCCATGTCACTTGTACCCCTGGTAGAGGTAACTCCTTGAGGAATCTTCTACTCTGTTGTCCTAGTTGAATTTATCTCACTTCACTATCAAATAGACTGTGGCAGAAGTGATGGATATCACTTCCAACATTAGATTGCACAAAGACTGTGGCTTCTGTCTTGGGAATCCTCTCTCTCTCTTTCATTGTAAGGGAAGCTGACTTCTATGTTGAGCGCTGCCTATTAAGAAGTCCACATAGCACGGAGCCAGTGTCACCAGTCACAGCCAGCAAGGAAGGACCTGGGGACTGCCCCCAGCCACATGATTAATCTTAGAAGTGAATCTTCCCTAAGTAAGGCTTTTAAATGATGGCAGCCTTATGAGAGTCCTTGAGCTAGAGGGCCTTACTAATTCTGATATAGTTCTTGACCCAGAGAAGTTGGCATAATGAATGTTTGTTGTTTTAATCCACTAAGTTTTGGAGGTAATATGTTAAGCATCAACAGATAACTAATAAAAGGAGTGATTCTGAGCAAGAAAGCCTTAAATGGAGGGAAGCTAAGGTCAAATAGTTTATGAATATCATCCTGTAAGAATACAGGGCTTGGAGCTTTGAAGGTGGGAGCAGAAAAAAATTTATGTAAGCTTGTCATTAACAATATGACTAAAAAAGTTCATTATACTGAAGGATAAATGCTTACATGTGCCTCAGAGAATAGATGTTTTTATTCCTGGGAAGAAAGATAAACTTTTTCAAAAAACATAAAGATTAAGTAGGATGCAGTTTCCAGCTTTGGATTCTGACATTCAGGACATGGGGAGGGTGATGAGCTTCTCCTGGAGGACTGAATTTAGGACACAATCAAGTTCATGATGGAAGCCCTTATGAGGTAGAGAGGGAGTGCATCTCAGCTCTTTCGATTAATTAAATGATTGCTTGAATTGGAGAAGGTGTGGGTATTTTGTGTTGTTTGGGTGAGTACATTGGAATGGTTTTCTAGCATTCCTTTGAGATTTTCCACAGTATAAGTTAAGGTAAAAGAACATTTTTACTTGTTTCAGAAAGCATACTGAGGAAGCTTTAATGTTACTATTAAGTAGGTAGGGAAATGACCAATATTATAAACGCAGATTTCCAGCCTCTCCTTTTAATGCTTTCAGAATGATTCCACAAGAACCTTGAAAATGTTGAGTATTTATATTTATTTTATGCCCTTTTATTGTGATTTTTTTAATAAATAACATTTTTTTGGTAAATACTGGAAGTTAATATTCTATAGTTCAGAAAAGCAATTTTGAACACTCAACTAGTGAGCCCATATAAAACTACATAACGGCACAGAATATAGTAAAATAATAATATAATGAACTGGGAGACAAACTAGGCACTGTGTGCCAAGTTTTTCAAGGAAGATACAATTTCAATACCAATGAAATAAACTCCCACAAATTGATTTTTCTTTGTGTGCACTCATCAGTGTAAATACAATTAAGTAATAAAGCCTGTACTTGTTCAGGAAAGATGTTTTCTATTCATAGTCTGATATCTGGGTGCTTTGGTTTCTGATAATTTGTTATGTAAAAACCCTGCAAATTAAAAAAAAAAAAAATCAGCAGCTCCAAGTTCATGGGCCCTTATCACAGAGGATTTAAAACCTGTGCATTTTCTTTAAACTGAGAATATTATTACATTTTTTAATCCAGTGATGAGACCATAATAGTTTTCTGAAATAATTCAGAATAATTATATACCTAAAAGTTAATTTGCATGTGCTGTAATTTAAATAAAAGGACAGTTAATTTTTGCATTACAAAACATGAAAAATAAAATCAAACGTTGCATCTTTACTTTTATTACATAAATTCCTTTACATTGTAGTGCCCCCTAGCACCACGCAAGTTTATAAACTGCTTTCAATATTAATTATGTTATTATAATAATAACTAATTTAAGAATGTATTATTAAAGTCAGTAATTTAATAATAATAATTTCAATAATATATGTGTCACAAAAATACCTGAAATTACAATTAGTATGTCCGGTTTACTGATGGGAATACTGTGGCTCAAAAACATCATCTCAGGCAGGGTGTGGTGGCTAACTCATGTAATCCCAGCACTTTGGGGGTCCAAAGCAGGTGGATCGCCTGAGATCAGGAGTTTGAGACCAGCCTGGCCAACATGGTGAAACCTCATCTCTACTAAAGTACAAAACCGGTCCGGCATGGTAGTGCACACCTGTAATCCCAGCTACTCGGGGGCTGAGGCAGGAGAATCACTTGAACCCATGAGGAGGAGGTTGCAGTGAGCCAAGATCACACCACTGCCCTCTAGTCTGGGTGACAGAGCGAGAGTCCTTCTCAAAAAAAAAAAAAAAAAAAAAAAATCATCTCACCCAAATCATGTAGCTACAAAGTTATGGTTTAGAATAATTCAACTATTTTACTGAAATCAAAACTTTTACTATTAACCAATCAGTTACACTCAGCTTTGTGTAACTGAATACCAAATAACATCATGTTCCAGTAATTTTCATTTGAGTGAGAAGGGAGCACACTGGTACCCTGGACACACCCAGATACACTAAATCAGAATCTCTAAAACTTGGTGACTGTAAAAATAATTTTATTCTGAGTCTGAAACATATGCTCCGTGTTTCTTAGCAAGTTTCTGCAGCACAGGAGTCAGGTGAGGGAAGGTAGCGCCCCACTCCTGGTTATGGAAGGCAGAGGGTGAGTTCTGCTGCACATATGAAGCTATGGAGAGAGCAAGACTGCATAGGAGCAGGGTACAGTCTCTGGATATAGAAGACAGATAAACCTGGGTTATAG
This sequence comes from Homo sapiens, assembly GCF_000001405.40. Lineage (NCBI taxonomy): Eukaryota > Metazoa > Chordata > Mammalia > Primates > Hominidae > Homo > Homo sapiens. The sequence goes on from NW_025791777.1 coordinate 1,818,933, forward strand.
TTGACCCAGTGGAAAATTATAGGCCAAGAATAAGTTTCCAGATACCTTAATAGGACTGGGCATTTGATAAATTTTGAAAGTTCTCTGATAACTCGTATGTGCAGTGTAGGCTAAGAACTCATGGAAACAATATAGACATTTTTTGCCTCTCAGGGATATGCAGACACCCCAGTTCAGATATGATGTCTTCATGATCATCAGAAATCCAGATGGCTATTATCTTGTTGCTTTGCACCTCCAAGTACTGCTGCTTCTCATGTTGCCCCATGGCTGCCCCAGATCTAGCCATCAGAGCTGCCTTTCCAAGAAGGAAGAAAGCACAGAGATAGGACATGCCCCCTGCATGTAAGTCAGCTTCTCAGAAGTTACACGCGTTACTTCCCCTTACACAACATAGGTCAGAAATTGGTCACATGTGTCATGCCCTATGTTAAGAAAAGATTGGGAATATAGCATTTATTCCTGGTGATCATGTGTCCGGCTAAGCATTAGAGGACATTTTTACTGATGGCGAAAGGGTCAATGGAGATTGCAGTGAACCAGCCATCTCTGTCCAATAGGCACTTTATTTGGTGACAATAATTATAGGAAAGGTAGCACTAGACAGTTTTAATTCATTGAAGTTATTTTGGGTTTTTCTTGTTACTTTGTTTGTTTGCTTATTTGTTTTATCCTTCAGAGAAATGCTAGAAATTTAGTAATTAAATTAAATATTTCATTGAACACAAAAGCATAACATTATGGAAAAGAGTAACTGTTGTTTGGTTTTATTTATATATGTTAGTGTTTATACTGACTAATCTCACCAATGGAGACAGACAATTTCTAAGATTTATTATAGGCATTGTGTTTGGATCTTTCTTTCAGAAAAGTAAAAATCAGCTTAACCCAAAAATTATTTTAATAATAATTGGCATATCCAGCTTCATCCATGTCCCTACAGCGGACATGAACTCATACATTTTTATGTCTGCATAGTATTCCCATGGTGTATATGTGCCACATTTTCTTAATCCAGTCTATCATGGATGGACATTTGGGTTGGTTCCAAGTCTTTGCTATTGTGAATAGTGCCGCAATAAACATATGTGTGCATGTGTCTTTATAGCAGCATGATTTATAATCCTTTGGGTATATATCCAGTAATGGGATGGCTGGGTCAAATGGTATTTCCAGTTCTAGAAGCTGGAAACCATCATTCTGAGCAAACTATCGCAAGGACAGAAAACCAAACACCGCATATCCTCACTCATAGGTGCAAATTGAACAATGAGAACACCTGGACACAGGGTGGGGAACACGACACACCGGAGCCTGTCGTGGGGTGGGAGGAGGGGGCAGGGATAGCATTAGGAGATATGCCTAATGTAAATGACGAGTTAATGGCTGCAGCACACCAACATGGCACATGTATACATATGTAACAAACCTGCACATTGTGCACATGTACCCTAGAACTTAAAGTATAATAAAAATAAATAAATAATAATTGGCATATCCAGAACCCTTTGCTGTCTTCTGCTACATTTGCACAAATTCACAGCTATTTGAATACCAGTCATTGTCAATCCTGGTCAGCTTTGAAAATACTGTTCCTTAGTTTTGCTCTCTGCCTAATTTACTTGGATTGAGGGGAAACCCAGGAATCAGTTGATTTGAGTACGTAGCCAATGTTGTAAAGAACTAATTGCTTTAACTTCTAATAGAAAAATATCACTATTTTTTTTAAAAAGTTACATAATTCATGTGTAGGAACATAATCCTTTTAGCCTAGAAGTAAAAAATGATATAGTCTTGCCCTATAGCACTGATCATGGCCATATATAATTTATAATAACCAAAATAATGACAATATTTTGGTACAGCATGCTCTATTAATTTGAATGCTCACGAGTTAACACATAATTCAATGTGATATGTATTAGGTTATAGAAAACCATGAGGTAAAAATCATAGGCTGCATTGAACTTTCTACTTCCCCAACTTTGCCTCATTATAGGGAGGGATGCAGCCCTAGAGTTCAAGAATTCCATAAAGACCAACCTGAAATTCTGGTGCCTGGCATCTTGTCACACCTTCTTCCAATACACAAACATCAAGGAGTGTAGAAGTTGAACATGGTCTGTTGTCACTGCCTCAAAGAATCCACTTCTAGCTTGTTCACACTAGGGTGTGAACATTTAAAGAGGGTAGGGAAGAACCACCTGGGTGGATTTTCACTGGGGATCTTATAATAAACTCTCAAAATCCCAGATTGAGACAAGGGAAGGGATGCTCAGTCGTATGTAATTAGGAAAAAGAGAGGGATTTTGAACCCACCCCTGCATCATCTAAGTCAAATAGAGCCAGTGTAACTGTTGGGACCGTTGCAGGTAGGGTGTGCTAGGTACCAAGCCGCAGTTAGGTAACCAATGACTTTTACAAGCTTATTTTCATCTCAGTACACCACATGCTTCATGTGCCACGTGCATGTATGTAAGTTACACATCTAAGATTATATTATTGGGTTACACTACCATGAATTATCTAAGGAAAACAGAATGATCATCATTGTGTGTGCAAAGACGACTTCTGAAATTAATACCAACAAGAGATTTCTTCTTTGCATATTTTCAAGCAGAAAGTGGACTAAATTATATCATTGGAGCATGACGTCTCAAAAAATATTTATTGCCAAATAATTCTTTACTGCTAAAAATTATTTATTGCATGAAATAGAAAAGATCTGAGACTGAAACTTCCATTTAAAAACATGATTTAAAAAAATAGAGTAATTACATAACAATTATGAAACTCAGATGCCAGAGTCAGAAATCAAGAAATTAACTATGTCAAGCAATTACAATATGATTACAAAGGCCCTTATATATTCATACAAGCTTTTTGCATTTTTTGAGCTAATTTTATGAAAAACATCAAAAGCCAGAAAACTAATGCTTAATGTATATTTTAAGGCCAAGAACAATATAGAAAAATTAATTTTCTCCTTAAAGTTTTTTAAGATATTTAAAGTAAACATTTTAAAAATTATTTAATCTGTGACCCAATTTGAATCACTTTGCTCTTCAGATTCCGATGTCTCCACAAAAATTCCGATGTCTCCTTGAAATTAGCTGATACATTATAAGAAATGAATGACTGTCCTGTCCTATTTGGGATACATATAAAAGTTACCCCAAAGGTTTAATTAGACAGTGAAGTACAAAAATACAGATTTGTAAAATATTAAATATATAAACAATATAAATCTCTATTTTGACAAGTGACTTGATAAACTAGGTTAAATAATTGTTAATAGAGTTGGGTAAAGGCAGTGATGTTGGTAAACTAGTGATCCAAATGAAAAGAAACTCGGCTGGGCACGGTGGCTCACGCCTGTAATCCCAGCACTTTGGGAGGCCAAGGCGGGTGGATCACAAGGTCAGGAGTTCAAGACCAGCCCGGCCAATATTGTGAAACCCCGTCTCTAATAAAAAATACACAAATTAGCCCAGCGTGGTGGCATGGTGCCTGTAGTCACAGCTACTCAGGAGGCTGAGGCAGGAGAATCGCTTGAACCAGGGAGGTGGAGGTTGCAGCGAGCTGAGACCACACCACTGCACTCCAGACTGGGCAACAGAGTGAGACGCCATCTCAAAAAAAAAAAAAAAAAAAAAAAAACCAGAAAAAAAGAAAGTCTTGATACATGGTGTATGCTGCATGTATGTAATTTACACTTCAAAGAGTAAGTCCTCCCACCATAGCTGTTTTCAAGTTATTACCATTTCAAGATACTAACTCCTGTGAATAGGAGGGTGAAGTCTTTAAATTACAGGAAATTGCAATAAAAGCCTGAGGCAAAGATATTTCAAGGGTTTTGGTTAAACAAAAGACACATTGGCTGGCATGAACAAGAGGAATCCACTATTGAAACCATCTTAGTCAATGGCAGGAAGACAGTGTTATGAGTCTACTGGTTACAGAAAATCTTTGTTTTAAAAACTCAGGTTTATCGAATTAAAATTTATATATGCCAAAAGTCATCTTTTTAAGTATGCAGTGTGTTGAAAACATAGATGGTTATATAACAAATACCATCCTCAAGATATAGAACAGTAACATCACCTAGAAAAATTCCCTTTTGTGCCTTTTGAATCAGTATTTCTGCTGCCCTCAGTCTTTGGAAATCGCTGTTCTTTGTCCCTATGGTTTTATATTTTCTAGAATGTCATACACAAGGGAGCAAACAGCATCCTGAATAGGCCTTTAAATCTGGCTTTTAAAATAGCATAATAAATCTGAGACACATTCATGTTGTTATGTTATCAGATTTGTTTCTTTTTCTTCCTAATGTGATATTAAATAGATACAGTATATAACTTTTTGACTATTCACCAGTTTTTGAAATTATGAATCATATGGTTAAAGTCACCAACAGATATACATATGTATATAGTATACATATAAATCAGTGGATTCTTCAATTTTTTTATTGTCAAAATGATTTTTCCATTATAATTCCTTTGCTTCTCTGTTGAAAGTTTTAGAATGAGCTTGTTTGTTAGTTGCAAATATCCTGTTAGGAATTTTAACTGGATTGAACTTTTGTATTGAATTTTTTGTTTGGTTTGAACAGAATTAATTTATTGTCAATATTGGCTACCAAGCTCTTTACTTATTTACTTCTTCTTTGATTTCTTTTACCAGTGTTTTTTTAGTTTTTGTTACCCTTTCTCCATGTTTTTTTAGATTAAGAATTTAATGTTTCTTGTGCTACTTTAAATGTAACTTTAAAAAATTCTAATTTCCAATTGTTCATTAATAGTGTTGTAAAGTAGCGGGTCCCCCACCAGGGAATTTAAGGGCATATGTTGACTGCTTGAGTCCTGAAGGCTAGATGGTGAGCAAAGTTCATGGTGCTCAGCCGAGGAGCAGATGTCCCTGAAAACCAAAACATCCGGGAGCATATCTAGGTACATACCAAGAAGAACAGTTTCATCACATGTAGTAAGCAAAGAGCCAGAAAAGTAGCTTTGGCCGGGCGCGGTGGCTCATGCCTGTAATCCCAGCACTTTGAGAGGCCAAGGCGGGCGGATCACGAGGTCAGGAAATCAAGACCATCCTGGCTAACGTGGTGAAACCCCGTCTCTACTAAAAATACAAAAGATTAGCCGGGCGTGGTGGAAGGCGCCTATAGTCCCAGCTACTCGGGAGGCTGAGGCAGGAGAATGGCGTGAACCTGGGAGGCGGAGCTTGCAGTGAGCCGAGATCCCGCCACTGCACTGCAGCCTGGGCGACAGAGCGAGACTCCGTCAAAGAAAAGAAAAGAAAAGAAGAAAAAAAAGAAAAGAAAAGAAAAGAAAAGAAAAGAAAAGAAAAGAAAAGAAAAGAAGAAAAGAAAAGGAAAGGAAAGGAAAGGAAAGGAAAGGAAAGGAAAGGAAAAGAAAAGAAAAGAAAAGAAAAGAAAAGAAAAGAAAAGAAAAGAAAAGAAAAAAGTAGCTTAAAAGCAGCTTAGAGGAAGATGGTGGGCAGCAGGCGGATCTCTGGAGTTATCCCGCTGCCCTTTACGTAAGTCCTAATAAACTCATCTTCTCATGAAGCTGGACTTGTCTGAGTCCTTCTTTGTTATTTCAGCACTATCTCTTTGGCAGAGGGATGTTCTTCTACACAGGTCTGGGTTTTTCCTGCAACAATTATATATAAAAAATAATTCTGTATATTAACATTATAGTGTTATAGTGCATAGTGTGAAATTACAAAACTCACAATTTATTTCTAGTAGCTTCACTTTTAATAATTTTAATTATTTTGTACTCACAATTTATTTCTAGCAGCTTCACTGCTAATAATTTTAATTATTTTGTACATAATGGAATACTGTGCATAGACCATCCACGAATCAAATAGAGTTTTATTTCTTCGTATCCAATTTGTATGCCTTTTGTTTATTTTTCTTACTTTAGTACACTGGTTAAAATTTCCAGTATACAGTTAAATAGTTCTTGAGGACAGGTTTCCTGTACTTCTTTTCTTCGTGCCTGTGTATAACGTATATTTAACTATATAATACATACAACACAACTATGTTTGTCTTCATATAATTTTTTACCTTTTTTTTAGTTTGTTTACGTAGCCCCTATATCTCTAGAAATGTTTCTTGGATTTACGATTTGATTGCCTTCACTTCTTTTGGAAAATTCTCATTCATTTTGTTTTTAAGTATTTATCATCCTTGTTCTCTTTCATGAATCCGTTCAAGTTAGGCATCCAGAGCTGTCCTTCAGCTCTTGGATGCCATGTTCTGCTATTTATCACTCTTCTTGTTTCTTACTTGTATTTGTTATTCAATTTCTATGTTTTTTATCTTCAACTTTACTGTTCCATTCTTTATTCATATCAAGTCTTCTGATGAATTACTTCATTGGTGTTTGCATTTTGAGGTAGATACAACAGTATATCTATTGAGACATTAATTAGTGCAATTAAACCGAAGTTTAACACATTTTAAGTAAAAATTTATCCCACTATCGCATAAAACTTGTGAAAGTTAAAGTCATCAGCACTTAATATTGTCTGTCATGCGAGGCAATCGGCACTCAAGTGGCAAATGCACTCATTTAACTCTAAATTGGTACTTTAGTTAATCTCTCATATTGATTTTTTTAACCCTTAAACACTGGCAAAGAGAAGCATACACCTAAAGAGAGATTTTTTACATTATTGTTTATTTAGTTAGTTTTTAGAAACAAGGTCTCCTCTCTCTCCCAGGCTGGAGGGCTGTGGTGCAATCACAGCTCACTGCAGCCTCAAAATCCTGGGCCCAAGCATACCTCCCACCTCAGCCTCCCAAGTAGCTGGGATTACAAGTGCCTGCCTCAGTACCCGGCTACTTTTAAAACATTTTTTGATACACATAGAGTCTCAGTTTGCTGCTCAGGCTGGTCTCAAACTATTGGTCTCAAGCAATCCTCTTGCCTCAAGCTTCTGAAGTGCTGGGATTACAGGTTAACCAGGACACCTGGCCTAGAGGTTATTTTTTGTTGTTTTAATTTCTTTATTTAATAGTCTGTGTATTTAAATTTTGTTGACAATAATCTTAACAGCAACAATAGTATCTACTTGAAAGGTATGCATTCTATATATAATTCCTTAGATATAAATTTAAGTATAAATATTTGAAAACTCTTTAATTTTTTAATATTGTGTCCCATTTCTTAAAAAGGAGAGAAGCTATATTAACTTTTGAATTCAGTACACAGTTAACAGTTCTTTCATTTAATATGTGATAATATAAATTTAACAGTGAAACTTTCAAATACTCATATTAACTTACCCTGATAGATTTTATAGCTTTAATATAAAACTTCTCATAAATGTAAAATTTGACAAAGCACAATATTCTCCAGGAAGTTAGAAAAGTAATATAATTTTCTGTCTCTCAGAATGTGTTTTCTAACCTCTAAATATAAATTGATGGACTAATCTTTTAAAATTCAGAATCAAATATAATTGCTTTGGTTTGATCATTGAGAATTCTTTTTCCATTCCATCATTTTATAGTTTTTGCCTAAATAAAATACTTAAGGAAGTTATTGTTATGTTGTATTTGAAAGATGCCTGATGGAGAAACATTCATAGTTCTTTTCTATCCTTATGAAAGGTTATATGAAAACATATATATATGTGTATATATAAACATGTGGATAAAGTACAGAAAATCCTATCATTGCCTCTGACTCAAATGGTAATCTTTAATATAAAGATTTGAAACTTTCATGGAACAGTATATCAGAACTTTATTTCCAATTTGTTTATGTATACTTAACGTATATCCTAAGTATCAAGAAATCACATTCAATTAACATATACATTATAAAACAATTCCTATATGATAATTCTAATAAGTAAACATGATTTTAGTGGTAGTAATTATTCAATCAAATATTCATATTTTAAAGATTAAATCTTCATATTTTAAAGCACATTACATCAGTTTACAATTCGATATTGACTACTGGATAGAATTTATCAATGAAATTTTGAATATGGCATGGTTAATGCAGATCATGTGAATTAAATTGCAAGGCAGAGAGCTTTTAAATTAAAAAAATAAGCTGGTTTATAAATCCAGTGCTAGACAGTTAATAAAAGCAATACATATAAATCTCCCAGACACCTCCCAATCTTGGTATTTTGAAATATTTTCCTCTTTTTAATATTATTTAAATAAAAAAATTATCTGCCTTTAAGCAACAAAACATGAACTCTTGGTAGAAAATTCACTAATTGACATAGGTATCTAGACTTATAAACCTGTAAAAAATGTGAAATAGAAGGCATAAAGTATTTGAGTCAATAAATTACTAACTAAATCTTTTTTTTTTTTTTTTTTTTTTTGAGACGGAGTCTCGCTCTGTCGCCCAGGCTGGACTGCAGTGGCGGGATCTCGGCTCACTGCAAGCTCCGCCTCCCGGGTTCACGCCGTTCTCCTGCCTCAGCCTCCCAAGTAGCTGGGACTACAGGCGCCCGCCACTACGCCCGGCTAATTTTTTGTATTTTTAGTAGAGACGGGGTTTCACTGTTTTAGCCGGGATGGTCTCGATCTCCTGACCTCGTGATCCGCCCGCCTCGGCCTCCCAAAGTGCTGGGATTACAGGCGTGAGCCACCGCGCCCGGCCTTAACTAAATCTTTTGATTAAATCAGCTTTATAAAAAAAGTAAACGTAAACACATAAGTCTTTGTATAAGCACCCCTACATTTTTAAAAGTATATTTGCCTTTTCATAAACTCAGTTGAGTAGTGGTAACATTCATCATCACAACTTTTTAGAGGCAATGAAATTGATGTCATTTGAGGTCTTCATCTCATATTTATCTTTTATTTTCTTATTTTGTCATGTTTAGCAAAGGATAGTAAAAGTAGAGGATCATTCAACCCAGAAATACAGGGAAACTGATCCTTGTAAATAGCACCCTTTATAGACTAATGGATATTTTAAGAGCAAGATGTGCTAGAAAGGAAAATAAGGCAATCTCTTAATGCTGTGCCTTTTCTTCCATTACATTTTTAGATTATATATTATCCCTTGTTTATTGCTGTAGCTGGGGAAAATATTTTTATTGAAATAGATTGTTTTTTGAAGTTTGCTATATTAGGTAAAAATAAATACCAAACTTCTCTGTCTTCAGTTTAATAGAAAAAAAAAAATCCCTTGTTACTCTGTTTCTGCCTTACTGTTAGTAGAAAGATTTATGATTAAGTAATTTTAGTAGGACAACATTAAGAACAAAAACATGAACCAAAATACTTTTTAAAATAAATATACACATTTTTACTATATATAGACACATATATAAAAGTATATATACATATATGTATATATGTGACTTCAATAACAGGAAAATAGATTTTCCAGATGAAGAATCTAAACATCTCATCCATAACAAAAGGTTAGGCTCTATACCAATGCTTGAATGAAAACTGTAATATCATCCATTTAAAAAAATGCCAACACATGCATAATTTTAGGCTGTAAAAATGAAAATATTTCAGAATTGATTAACAAATGGTGGAAGTTAAAGTTGTCTCTTCCCGACCTGCACTTTGTTTTCTGTCTCTTGCCTTTTCTCACATTTTATTTTTCCTTCCTATCTCAACAATATACCCCACCTGCAGTGTGCCCAATGTGGACACATACCTGCTTTTTTCAGGCACTGTTTTGGACAACATTTCCCTACTGAGCATTAAATCACTTTTTCTTAAATACGTACTAAAGATTTCCATGGCTGAAAAGCTAGTTCCACATACATTAATAATCCTTGAAGAATTAAATCAGATACAACCTCTACATCAGCACAATATTTCAAGGTGGTAAGGGAGTGCTACTGCTGGGTTTGTCTTCACTTAATAACTTTATTAATGATGTGGATGAGTGAACAAATATGAAAAGAAAATTTATAGGTATTACATACGTAGATTCTGCAGAAACAAATAGGCTGGAAGGTAATGACTGTAGAATGACCTAGAGAGGTTAAAAAAAGAAAATAGTAGTCCAATATTATTCCACTTTTAAGTAAATGAGACCATTAAGCTCTTTAAAATAACCAGTAAATAAAAACTCAAAGCAATGATAGCTACATCAAAAAGTGAGGGAAGAGGGGAAATTATATGTTGCAATGTTACAGAGTACATTAAAGCATTCAGTATATTTCCTGAAAATTTCATAAGCACAGTTCTTAATGTTTATTCATAAATAAACAAAACCAAACCAAAAGCCATAGTTCATTTGTTTCTAACTAAGAGTACAAATTATTTATGCGGAAAAGTACATATAAGCTCACATAAATAACACGAATAATGTTTTCATTGTGAAGATATTCATAACGTTCAAATGACAAGGTCTTAGGAACTCTGCACCTTCATTAATTTTAATCAATATTTAACAATCAAGATTGTTTTCAATAAATCATGATCTAATAATGAAAGGGGGAAACTATTTGTTTTAACTTTCATTTCAGTTTTACCCTTTACTCACAAGTTGAAATTCATTCTCACTCTTTGCAAACTATTTTGAAACACTTCCAGGCAAAATTCATATAAATATTTTATTTTTCCTAATTTTTGGAAAAATTTTAGACTATTACAATCTGAGTTAATAGCCTAGTTCCTTTGTTGATCCAGTGTAAATAAATATTTCTCTTTTCTTGCTGTATTAAAAAACCCACAGTCTCTATAGCCAAGTCTATATCTATATCGATATCTATCTGTATCTGTATCTATCTATGTGTATCTCTATCGATGTATGCATACACAAATAATATCTGTGGAAGAATTTTTTTTCATGTAGTGTAATATCCACAGCTCTTCTACTTTAACCATAACTCAAGTTAATAACATTTTATTGTCTTTTGTTAGTTTTACCTGGAAAAGAAAGCACATCATATACAATATTATAAAATAGAAATAAAACTAAATATAGCGTTTTAGAAGGTAACAAAGTTTTATGTTTAAGGATATTAAATAAAATCTATTTCTTCCAGTATATTTTTTCACAATCTGTCTTAAATGGAATCTTCAGATATCTTAACAAGTTGACTACTAGATTTTGTAGTGTATTCCAATCAGATATCTATCTGAGGCCACTCTTTTTTTTAATAATCTAGGCTTCTGTAGACAATGTGGAAACATTTTTAAAATGATGACGCCCTCCTTTTCCTTCGTAGCTAAATTAGTACACAAAATTCTAAATATTTCCTTAGTTTTAATAATAATAAAGCAATATAAGATTCACCCTCTGTATTCAATTCTTTGTTACCAATTCTGCTACAATGAGAATTTTTGAAATTCTTAGTTATAACCTTTATTTTTGATAATTGCATTTAAAATGCAATGATAAAGCAAATAATTAAAATGCTAGGAATAAAATTGTCCTTTATTAGTTTATCATAAAGTTCCATAAATTTCAGCTCTCCTTGATTTCTCACTATTCTAGTTCATCAATTTTGTAATTAATCATTAAACATTATTCTTTCTCTATATTAAAAATATTAGCAATTAAAAAATCCCTATTTAATATTATATTCATTGTTTTAGTTTGATGCTTTTTTTTTTTAGTGATATGTACAGAAGACAAAAAAATGATGTGCAGCCTTTGTGTTCCATTTATTGTTGCGTAAAATAAAATTTCATCAATCTTGGATAAAAATTCTTAGGCCTATGATTATATTTGAAGGAAACACTAACTTCTGACATGATTATTTAGAACACACATTTTCTTAACTTGTCTTCCATTTTAGTGGAGCTATAAATAGCTTTGGCAAATTTTTCTGCTTTGCTGTTAATTTAACTCAGTAGATTTATTGAAATTTTAAGACACCACGTTACGCAAGATTTAGGGTATGTGACTACTCTTTCCTCCTGTGTGGAGGTCGACATTGCCACAGTCTAATATCATAGTTCCCCTAACTGGTCCCCTCCCAGAAGTGAGTTGCAAGTTCCTGCTGACTTTCAGAATTATTTCTCCATGTTTATGTCATTTTGATGCAAGAGAGGTCAATACACAGGTATGTCATCAAAATAATATTTAGACTATGTCATTCCCACAAAAAACAACTTATATGCCATGTTTTACTCACTACCAAAGTCTTGTTGAATACTACTTGTTTCATTCCTCTAGCCAGGAGACAACCTGGCAGGTATACTGCCTGAGCACCAAGAAGTTATCATATAATTTGCGTTTCACTGACCTCTCTTACCTTGTCAAATTACCCACAATAATTTTGGTAAAGTTGCATCTAACTTGGTATGGACTAAAAATACTTGCGTCGCCCCCAAAATTTGTATGTTAAAACCCTAATTCCACTGAGATGATATTTGGAAACAGGGCCTTTGGGAAATAATTAGGTCATGAGTCTCTCTCTCTCTTTCTCTCTCTCTCTCTCTCTCTCTCTGTCTGGTCTCTCTCTCTGTCTCTTTATGAGGACATGACAAGGAATGGAGGTTTTACCTGTAACCATTGACTGGCACCTTTATCTTGGACTCTCAGCCTCCAGAACTCCGAGAAGTAAATTTCTATTGTTTAAACCAGTCAGTGTATGTTGTTTTTGTTGTTGTTATAGCAGCTTGAATTAAGACACAATTTTCCTAAAACTTAAAAATGTCGGATTGGTGGATAAAATTGTATTTCATTGTGCTTTTTTCTTCAAGCCTTATACCTCTGACTCCAAACTCATAGTAACCAGTGTAAGACATGGTAGAATCTTTCCACTAGTGCTTGGGACACTATTTATAGTATCTACCCAATCTAATTTTAATGAAAAAGTTGAAGGTTGGTATAAAAAAATGTTTATCATCTAGGAGTTCCAGGCTCAATTCAACATACTTGTGATGGTCTCATGTAGTAGCAGTGACAGTCAACTACAAATGGTGCCTGAACAGGGACATTTCAGAGACTATCAGGGACATACAGAGACCTGAAAGGACCTGGAGGGACCTGAAGAGGTCTGCAGGGATAAACAGAGATAAGTAGAGGTAAGTAGAGAAAAGTAAGTAGAGATAAGTAAGTAGAGAAAAGTAGAGATAGGTAGGGAAAGACGGGGACTTGCAGGAACTTGCAGGAACTAACAGGTACCATAGGGACAGACAGAGACAGATAGGAATAGATAAAGACTAGCAATATAAGGTCAGTGCCCTGAAGAGGTACTGGTCTGTGTCCTAAAGAGGTACAAAAGTAGAGACTAGCAAAGACTAGGAGAGATTTGGAGGAACAGACAGGGACAGATAGGGACAGATAGGGTCCTATAGGACTAGAGCGAGGAAGGTCTGCTGGAACAGAAAAAAACTAAAACCAACTAGATGAACGAGAAAGCCCATTACAACTCTGTTGGCAGCGACATAAGGTTAGTGCTCTAAAAAGGTACTGGTCAGTGCCCTAGAGGTACAAAGAATGGGAAGTTTTTAAAACAGGGAAACGAGGAAGAATTTGGCTATTTCTTTTCTCTTTTTTGTTTGTTTGGAGTTTTGGTATGTACCATCTTTTTGTTATTTAGAATTTTTTGCCCCACCTACAGTGCCTATCGAAAATGGTGAACAGAAGAGGGAGAATGAAAATTGCCTTGTATCGTCTTCTTTGGTGGCTACAGAAAGGCTAACTTTAGCTTTGGCTTTCATGGATTGTAAACGTGCACTGGCACCTGTGAGATGTGCAGAGGACTTGGGAGGCTTTCTCAGAGCTTGTCAAGATGTGGGAACTGAGCTTCATTGCTCTGCAGTATTGACTCAGGCAATAGCAAATTTGGTGGCTGACAGATCTAAAAGAAGCCAAGGGTCAAGCCCTAAAGTGGGAAAGTGTCATAAGTGTAGAAAACTTGGACGTTTCAAAAGAGAATGCCGTCAGACCTCTGTGAACAAGAGATCTTGTAACATAGTCCCCCTCTTAACAGAAAAAAAATGCCGGACTTTGCCCTCGATGCAATAAAGGAAATCATTGGGCTAATCAACACCACTCAAAATTTCATCAAAACGGCACCCCCCTGTTGGGAAGCAAGAAGGGGGCCTGGACCCGGGCACCTCAAACTATGAGGGCGTTCCCTGTCCAGGCCACAACTCCGTTTCAGGGGTGGGTTTCCAGAGGCACATGGATTCCCTCTCCCCAGGAACACCTGGAAACGCAGGATTAGATCTCCCAGAGAACCAATTACATTAAATGAAAGAAACAAACTCACTAAGATTCACATTGGTATTTGGGGATCTTTGCCAACAAGATACAAGGGATTGATTTTGGTAAAAGCTGTCTTAACTTACAGGCCCAGGAGTTGTTGATTTTGATTGTGAAGGAGAAATTCAGGTAGTGGTAATGTCACAAGATCTTTGGGTTTTTGAACTGGGACAATACGTTGCTCAATTTTCGCTTCTTCCCTGTAAATTGTACCCTTCTCCACATAAGAAGAAGCGAGGTGGTCAGGGATTTGGAAGTGCAACTAGGAGAGAGATTTATCTATCACCACCCATAGCATCTAGTGGACCCACCTGTACAGTGCAAATTGAAGGTTTAAGGATTGCTTTTTGCTATACTGTTTTACGAGAAGGATAAGCCTCGATTTGCTTTCTCTGTGCCGTGTGTTAATCAGAAAGAGCCTGCTTCTTGTTCTCAGTGGAAAGTTTTACCCCACGGCAATTAACCAAAGAGGCAGAAGCTGAGTTACAAATGTTTCAGCAATGGCGTGCCTCCCGGCTACAGCAAAAAAAATAAAAAATAAATAAAAAAGAAAACACTTTTGATTCTGTTTGGTAGATTTACTAACGTGGGGACGAGGGTATACTTACATCTTTGCAGAAGATGAACAAACCGAGTGGGTGCTCCCAAGGTGTGTACGACCGTTGAACAGGAGACTGGAGGGACCCATGGATCCCAACCATGGACCTTGTTCCCCCAGTATGAACCATGAACCAGTTGAATCTGAATGCAAAGATGGAATGAGGACCACTAGAAGCAGGGAGCTCTCTTCTTCCCCATGCTAGCCTTTCCTTAAAACAGTTTCTTTTGTTTTTTGTTACCATTTCTATGTTCGTCTCTTCATTCAGTCTAGTAATGACGGTCTCAAGTAGTAACCGTGGCAGTCAGCCACACTTAAATCTTAATGCTTTTGAATTCTAGAAGGAACTCAAAAAGAGACAAACAAGTCAGTCATAGTAGTAATACATGGAGAATGAATTGTGAAATCTAAGAGACTGAATATCATGTCAAGCATAAGCTTTTTCAAAGCAATTAAACTGGGCTTTTAATGACATTACTTAGACTTTCCAGACAAAATGTGTAACAATACAGCTAATTTTAATAAAATGACTTTGAAATCCCCAAACTCAAATATAATCTCATGAAGTAAT
The DNA here is from genome assembly GCF_000001405.40 of Homo sapiens. Taxonomy (NCBI): domain Eukaryota; kingdom Metazoa; phylum Chordata; class Mammalia; order Primates; family Hominidae; genus Homo; species Homo sapiens. The sequence goes on from NW_025791777.1 coordinate 1,834,297, forward strand.
TGTTTGTGATAACACCTTAATATGTTTTATACCATCATTATGAAAAACAGTGCAAGAGAAAGGAGAAAAAATTCTTTATTGTGAGTTAAAAACTTTGAAACCTAAGTCAATCATTTTTATTGTTTCAAGAAATATTTCCCCACGGCTACTTTAGTAGCAAAATCAAAGTCAGGAGAGCCCAGGCTTCTGTAAACAAAGTTTAATTGTATCCCCTCCCCCTTTCTTCTCTGTCTCATAATTTTCTCAGTACTTTTTAAGGAGCGAGAGGCATCCCCATGAATGACACTGTTATAGGTTCTAAGGCAGAGGATGTGATGATGATGATCTTTGGGAAACGGTGAGGTGAATGTTGTCCACGAAGCTGCTTTCTAGTAGGGTGTCTGTGGGAAACTATACCCTTTCTGTGGGGTCTTCTGAATGTAGCTAATACTATTTTTGTTTGGGCTGGAAGTTTTTTATTATTATTGTTTTTACACTTTAAGTTCTAGAGTACATGTGCATAACGTGCAGGTTTGTTACATATGTATATATGTGCCGTGTTGGTTTGCTGCACCCATTAACTCATCATTTACATTAGGTATTTCCTCTAATGCTATCCCTCCCCCATCCCTCCACCCTACGACAGGCCCCTGTGTGTGATGTTCCCCGCCCTGTGTCCAAGTGTTCTCATTGTTCAATTCCCACCTGTGAGTGAGAACATGCGGTGTTTGGTTTTCTGTCCTTGTGATATTTTGCTGAGAATGCTGGTTTCCAGCTTCATCCAAGTCACTACAAAGGACATGAGCTCATCCTTTTTTATGGCTGCATAGTATTCCGTGGTATATATGTGCCAGATTTTCTTAATCCAGGCTATCCTTGACGGACATTTGGGTTGGTTCCAAGTCTTTGCTATTGTGAATAGTGCCTCAATAAACATATATGTGCATGTGTCTTTATAGTAGCATGATTTATAATCCTTTGGGTATATACCCAGTAATGGGATGGCTGGGTCAAATGGTATTTCTAGTTCTAGATCCTTGAGGAATCGTCACACTGTCTTCCACAATGTTTGAACTAGTTTACACTCCCACCAACAGTGTAAAAGTGTTCCTATTTCTCCACATCCTCTCCAGCACCTGTTGTTTCCTGACTTTTTAATGATCGCCATTCTAACTGGTGTGAGATGCTATCTCATTGTAGTTTTGATTTGCATTTCTCTGATGACCAGAGATGATGAGCCCTGTTAAGTTCTATCCTCTCCATATGTCCATGGGGCTGTTGGAAATATTCTTTTTCTGGGCTTCATGCTGTGCCCAGAGCATTTCCTTTTTCCTTCTCCTTTTTAAGGCAAGGATGCATCTGTTTTCATAAGGTTTGTGATAAAACAACACTCAAGTTTTGCAAGTTACATGATTGTCATCATCATCGCACTAATTTTTTGTGAAATATGCATTTTAATTACTTCCAAGAGGGTTTATTTCTAATGAAAAAAATTAAACAATAAATAATTTTAGACTTACCCCATGCAAGAAATGACAAATTCACTGAAGCAAACATGTTTAGGCTACACTGTATGCAATCTACAAATTGCCTGCTCAGTCTCAGTTTCTTGCATATATTTCTCATACATCTAAATGTTAATTTCCACACTTCTGTCTCTCTGAATCCCTGGCAAATGGCAATGGCTAGTGACTTTGCATTCACCTATCAGAAAAACATGAATCCGGACACACTTCCGGGAGCGTGGGACGTGGTAGGAATTTACTGGATAATAGGAACTGATATGTTATTTTGAGAGTGCTAAAATTCTCCCAGTGAATGTAACTTTGCCTATATTTTATATAACTTATTGGTTTTGGTTTGATAATTAAAAATATCAAAATTATCCTGGGGCAGGAGCCAAGGATGGTATTATACAGTGAGAAGTGAGTCCCACATGTCAGTCTTGTCATTTTCTTCCTCAGATAAAGTGCAGAATTTTGTCATCAGTAATATGAAAGAGAGATTTTACAGAAAAATTGCCAATTTTTGTCCATGAAGATGAGGGCAATATGCTAAGTATCAACGGACTAAAAGATGGCATATATTTTTTAGTGGGACATCCATGCAAGACTGCATTTCTTACCTGTTGACTATTACAGTAAATAGAAAATAATTATTTTAATTAAGCGACTACAATTTAGGGCATTTGTTGTAGAGATTTACAAATGTTTCACATTGCTTGACTTCAGGGGGCGCCATTTTTACATCATCCATTTCTAATAGCATGGCCAAGAGTATACTCCAAGTAACAAATGAGGTATAGCATATGAGACAAAGTAGAAACACTTAAAGGGTTAAAGAAATTTTCACCCGTATCTCTATGATGCAAAGTAAAGCAAAAGACAAAGAAACAAGCAAAAAAGAACAAGTGGTCGCCAAGCTGGACTGCAGTGATAAAACCATGGCTCACTGCAAACTCCGCTTTCTGAGCTCAGGCAATCCTCCCACCTCAGCCTCATGAGTAGCTGGGACCACAGGTGCCCACCACCACTCCTGGCTAATTTTTGGGTTTTTAGTAGAGACAGATTTTTGCCACATTGGCCGGGTGGGTCCCAAACTCCTGAGCTCAAGCAATCCACCCACTTCGGCCTCCCAAAGTGTTGAGATTACAGGCATAAGCCACCACACCCGGCCGCTGCATTTTTTTTTAATGGGAAATAACAAGCATATTCATTACATATAAAATGATATATTTAGAAATTTTGTAGGCTTTATAAATTCTGTTGGATAATGGAAAATTTTTTATTGTATTTTTTGTGTATGAGAACATAATGTTATAAAGTAAAATGTACATAGAGGGAAATGGGATTGTGAGGATAGTAACCATAGGTGAGGAGATGGATGAAAGAAAGGTCTTACACTGCTGTAAGGAGCTGTTACTATATCTTCTTCATATTTTTATAAAACATATCTTATTAGAAGACTTAAGTTACTTATTTTTTTCTTGTATGTATATATTCACCTCCATTTTGAAGGCTATTAGTCTGGGAAACCTACAAGAACATTGCCGTAGGGAAGCTCAAGTATGTTAACAACAACAAAAATAGTTCTGTGAATGCCTTTACATAATATAAGGTCTACATATTCTCTCTAGATCTGTGCGCCGTAAGACTGGATTTTGAAAAGCTGAGGCATAGACTGATAGCTCTTTACCACACTTGTTTTTTCTTCTTTCTGGATACATAGCTTGGCTATATTTCCATGCAACTGTGTCCCGGTTAATGTGTACCACTTTTAGAGGGTGGTACATATAAATGTTTCTTCCAGTTCTTTCAACATGTGTCATTTGAAAAAGGAGAACTCTGAAGCCCTCTAGGAAGTTGGAGCTACAATACTGGAGGCCAGTTTCCTGAATTACTCCCTGGTAAAAGCCACCCAGACAAGAAATGCCTTTATTTGAATGTTATTAATGAGAAACACATTTTAAACTTTCAGCCACTTTAACTTTGAGGATTGTTTGTTAAAACAGCTGGTGTTACCCAAACTGTTATAGGAGTCTACTAAATATCATTTCATTTTTTTCCCTTCTCAAACTCAGAATGAATTGGGAGATAGCCGTGGGCATTAAAACTGTTTCAAGAAGTGCAACTTAGCGTTCAGGGCTGACCTCATGAGCTTCCAGAGACATCAGAGTAAGTGACCCTTTTTCTAGTTTCGAAGCTCTGTTCTAGTTCTAAGCATGCAAATAAATTTTAAGCAGGATTTCTTAGCCTGCAGGAGCTGAGGATGATTAATAAGTCCTGCTGTTATGCATAAATGCACTGACCTATACTGTGCCCTTCAGTCAAATTGTATATTGTTTAATCGTGATAAATGAAGTGCACCAGGCACAGATAAGCTAGTCCCTGGAGTATGTCCAGATACACCTGAAAGAAGAATGACTCAAGCTGGGTGTGTAAAGCTACACTTTGGAGGATAGAGCTTCCCACAGGTGCAATGGAACTCTCACTTCTCACTTGCTCAGAAATTATGATCTGCAGTGTGAGTCTCCCCTGGTAAGGAAACGTGTCCAGCTCCTTGAAACATGTTCTAGAGAACAGCATTCATTACCCTCCCATGAACTTAAACATGCTTCTTGGCTCCTGTGCATTTTAGGTAAGTAAGCTTTGATTTCCCCAGGTGGTGTCGGTGTCTAGTCTTTTCATAAACTTGCACTTACTATTAACATGGAGAGGACATCCACAGGCCGAGATACATTGCCATGTCTTGCATTAAAAGCAAATGAACCTGAAGTTTTTTTGTAAACAACTTACGAAGTTTCATTTGATTTGATTTGATTTTTAATAATTCCCTGAATTGCTGTGATAATTAGAGTAGTGAATTCATTTCTGGTATGTTTTAAAAGTAATTCAAGGAAAATAATTTTGCAGAATCCTGATTTAGATAATATGAAGAGTGAATAGGAAAATGATGAAATTGTTGCTGCTTTTTACAGAGGCTTAGAATCATGGAAATCATTTGCTTTCAGGTATAAAAGGGAATAATTTCATTTTCTACTTTTTACTTTAAATTTCTGTTATCTATGTCTACATGCTTCTGTCCATTTCTTCATAGTTTGTTTTTTAAATAATATGCTTCTACCATTCTCTGAAAGCTATTTTAATTTTTCAGCTTGAATATAAATTGGTTGATACTGGCTGCAAATTATTTTTGGTATTCTAATTTGTCTATTTTTCTTTTTCTTGAAATGGAATAAATAAGCTTCACACACACACACACACACACACACACACACACACACACACAAAAACCCTAAACAAACAAAAAAAATCACACAGCACCAGCAAACTACTAGGATTTACTGTAGGATAAAAGCTCTACATGGCCCTGCATACAAACTTTCTGCATACTTCTGCAAATTTTTATGCATTACTCAATCCATTAAAAATCACCTTGGAAGAAACTGCAAACACAATAGAAACTAAATGAGATAGTCACAGAGAACAACAAAAATAGTAATTTAAGCTCCCATACAACATCAAGTGTGTTCAGTCTATTTTTGGTTCTTCGGGTTCTCTTTAAAATTGAATTGAGTTTGTATATGCATATGTATGTAGGAGTGGAGGATGGAATTAATTATCCCAAACATCCTACACTCACTCCTCTAATATTTCTTTTGTTAACATGCAAATCTGTTCTCTTCATTACGGTGATACTGCATTTACATTACAACACAATTAGAGATCATTAACTTTCTCCTTTATAATCAGCCATTTTCACAGGCCTTTGATATACAAGCACCTATAATATATTCTTACTCATCTCACACTTTCATTTACCAAAGTGTCAAAACAACATTTTTACATCATTGATATTTGTTTTAGTTTCTGCAAGCTGGCTGTTAGAAGATGATTACTTCTCTTAAATTACCTCTTACCCTCATCTTGCTATCTTTTTAAAAGGAAAGAAAAAGCACTATAAAAATCAGACACTTTGGGTTCTGAACCTTTTATTTTGTGTGAAAAGATACTTATTTATGTATGCTAAATCACACTGATGCGGAAGACAAACTGGCTCTTCGTTATTTTTTTTTTTGGCACTTTATAGAGGAAATGTGTGGAGAACAGATCTTTCCTAAGGTATTATATTCATGTGCCTTAAAGATTAAGAATACTCAATGCGCCAAGAAGTGCTATATACCAGAAAAGTTTGTATCAATTAATGTATCTAAATTAAGTTAAAGTTTCTTTCAATTTAATGTGCTTGCAGATGTAAAATTGCATGTTTAAGTTTTGCAGTTATGTACTAAATCTGGTGCTACACTTCTAATGTCTAAAGGTTTTATTCAATTTCAATTTATTTGTTTTATAGTTTGCCAGAATGTGCTTATGAAAGGCACTCTCAGTCATAAAAATAAATTATAAGCAGACTGGCACGTAACTATTTTTTTAAATAATAAACTTTCTGATTTTAGAGACTTGTATTCTTTTATAGGTCCTGGTTCTCTTTCACTCTCTGACCTATAAGAACCCATACAGCGTGCATTGCTGTGTATGGAAAAGCAGTAAAGGGAAGTACAGCCACCTTTTAGGTCCCATGAATAGCAAAATCTCTTTGACTAATCTCTTGTTTCAGGGTACGTCCACTCCTTGTTTAAAGAATGTAACTGGCTGGGCTTGGTGGCTCACTCCTGTAATCCCAGCACTTTGGGAAGCCAAGGTGGGCAGATTACAAGGTCAGGAGTTTAAGACCAGCCTGGCCAATATGGTGAAACCCCATCTCTACTAAAAATACAAAAATTAGTTGGCCGTGATGGTGGGTGCCTGTAGTCTCAGCTACTCAGGAGGCTGACTCAGGAGAATTGCTTGAACCCAGGAGGCAGAGGTTGCAGTGAGCCAAGATTGTGCCACTGCACTCCAGCCTAGGGGACAGAGTGAGACTCCATCTCAAAAAAAAAAAAAAAAAGAATGTAACCACACTCAATAGTCACTAGCACATTGTTCTGAATAGACTATATACTGAAAGATATCTGCTGGATATAGAATGACCTCAGGAAAAAGTCTAGACACTATAATCCATCTCACTTGCCAGCATTTAGCGACCTTTCAGCTTCATTACTGACTTTCACCCAGTGTCCCTCAGGTGAGTGACTTGAGTCCTCTTTCATAATATTTGGCAGGAGAAAAGATGAGGTCATTGCTCCATCAATCCCGTCATGTCATGTCTGCTCATGTGTCATAGCTTATAAATAGTCACATGGTTCTGTCCAAGTGCAAGGGGGGCATTGCAGGTAGAGGTCCGTCTCCATGTGCCTTGAAAAGAAAATAACCAAATATCAGGGGAAAACAATAATATGAGCCATAGTGCCTGATATATACTATGACATCATAGAGATTTAATGAGTATTAATCAGGATTCAATGGCTGCAGGAGACAAACAGTTTCACAAACGAGGGCAATTAACTGGCTCATAGGCAATATCTCAAGAAAGGTGGGGTATTGTTATACTTCATGTGTTGCAGAAACATAGATGCTCCAATTTTACATGTTCTTTCTGTGTATGTAACATTCTTTGCCTTCTGGGTCTCAGCTTTATCTCTCAGGTTAACGTCTGTCACAGCTGTAGAGATAGTCACTGTCAATTCCTAGTTTCACAGTCTCCCATTTTCCAACGGAGTCTTACTCTTTCTTTGTTTCCAGTTCAAATGTATTATTGAAGAATCCTGGTTCTTAATTTAGCTTCGGGACCTATTGAATCAGTCTGTGGAAGCTGGAATAATATGATTAGGGCAGCAGAAATGAAGAATGCTTCTTTAGACCAATCACTATGTCCATGAGGCAGACTAAGGACTACATGACCCTAATAAATTCTAATTTCTAGAGCTTCTTATCTGGATCCTGAAGCAGTTTCGGCCTTTATACTATGAGAGACTGAATACACTAACAGACAATGGTGGTTCCACACACAGAAAATCAACTCTGACCTCTGCAGCAACCAGTCTGCAGCGATTGGTCCAAATGCTTAGGAATTGGTGGGTAACTTCCAGCTTCCCTAAGTGTTTCCCTCCAGCTTCCAATTTAGAACCAACCAGAGAATGCTAATTATGCAGCTTCACCCATCAAATAGGATGTTTTGCTTCTAGTTATCCAACCTTTAGATTCCCCATGACAATAATTTCCAACCAGGGCATTCCTGCAGCCTTCTGGTTTTCCCACGATAAAGCTTTCTCACTGCCTGCCTGCCTTTGATTCGTTGCCATATTGCAAGTGATGGTGGCCAACTCCCTGGCTACAGCAAGCTCTGACTGAATAACCTGTATTTCTTTTCATTTGAGCAGTCTTAGCTTATTTTTATAACTATTGAGGAAACGTTGTAGCAACCCTTACACTAAATGAACTTAATTATGCCAAACCTTTACTTACTACTTAAACAAATACTCTTCCAGACAATGTTACCAAACAGTGTCCCCTTTGTTGTGAAATCTTGTAGATACTGTTTAATTAGTAGAATCCTCTTACTTTCTTTTCCCTGTCAGTTTTACAGTATCCAACTGGTCCCGTGTATGATAGAAAACATTTCTATAAGGTAACACAGTATATTTCAACCCACACTATTACTATTGATGAGATTACTTTGCTATTCACATCTCATAACATTAGCAAAAATGCACAAATCTTAAACTGCCTTCTTTTTCCCCTCCAGGATGAAGGACAACCACATATTTAGCTGACAGTGATTCAAACTCTCATCTTGTCCAAAACTGACTTAAATGGCATAACTTTAATTAACTCTGATCTTACATTATCTGTTGACAGTTTTCACCTAGAATAGAGAAAATTAACCTTGTTTTGGATATTCTCTTATCTCTGAAGACTCCATCTGCCTGGGTTGCTGAATCAATTTTTGTAACTGGAACTCACAATCCAGCCTGAGGCAAAAAGTGAAGAGTATATGAGAGAGAGAACATTTATGTAGATAGTAGACAAGCACTAGAAATTGTGCATGATTTTGGAATGAAGGGCTCTTAGGTTCATTTTCGACTCTTAGCTGCAAGTATAGAAATTAAAAAGAAAATTAATGTTTTATCTGACTCCTTAAGAAATTATAAGTTAATTTAAACATATCTACTCCAGTGAAATAGAAATGAAATCTAAAGTTAATTCTCAGGCATATTGCTTTGCAAGAAATGCTCCTCTTCATAGAAAGCTGCCCAAGTAAACAAAATACTCCCTTACTGTAAACATTTATTCCTCTTTATGAAAAGTTACTTGTAAAAGAATTTTAACTAGGTATTGAGATTTATTTGACAGTTCAATGATAGCCACTCGGTGGCTCCTAAATCCGTACAAATAACATTAGCAATCACACTGTGTGGATCTACCTAAAATACTAAAGGTAACTCAGAATCAGTGTTACTAAGATATCGTGGATGAGTTTGTCTAGAGAAGAGCAAGCATGCCTTATCTGGAAATTCTGTAACCACCACAATGCTGATTAATCTGTAAAAGTGGGTCAAAACTTTCAACCACTATCACAGGCACTTTAACCCCCTATAAATGGACATTGTACAAATACCTTAGTCCCAAGGAAACCAATATGTCCTGGAGATTGTTTGTGAATGTCCCTAGTGGAGCAAAGCCTAAGTATAAGAATCTTTTTGGTGTGTTTTCCCCACCTGGGATCTCCTGTCAACCCTGTCAGCTGAAGGAAGGGCTCATTTTACAAGGAAGTGTTTTTGACGATTTTGCATGGTTGTCTTTATCTCTAAAGCATAATTACACTTATAATCTGAAAAGTATATAAAAGATAGAGATATTAAGTTGTTTGTTAAAAATAAGTAATCTGAATGTTCAGAATGACTTCATCTCCCTTGTTCTATAGTGCTTCTTTCAGTGTTACTAGCCATGTGATCCTCAGCTTTAAATCTTACAGGCTTTTTCTTGTGAAGTGGTAACTGTAAGAACCATGAACTTGGATCTAGTTACTACATTCGCCAATTCTTCATTTTGTGGTAGTTGTTGTTATTTTTCTTTATGAGACAGGGTCCTGCTCTGTTGCCCAGGCTGATGTACAGTGGCATGATCACGGCTCATTGCAGCCTTGAACTCCTGGGCTCAAGCAATCCTCCAACCTCAGCCTTCTGAGTAGCTGGAACTACAGGCATGCACCACCATACCTCACCATTTTCTTTTTTTGTATATATACATTTTTTTTTCGGTAGAGAATCAGTTCTTCATTATTAAGTTTATAAAATACCAGCCAGAGGCCAGGCGCAGTGGCTCACGCCTATAATCACAGCATTTTGGGAGGCTGAGGCAGATGGATCACTTGAGGCCAGGAGTTCAAGACCAACCTAGACAACATGGTAAAATCCTGTCTCTACTAAAAATACAAAAAAATTACAAAAAATTAGCCAGGCATGGTAGTGCCTGCCTGTAGTCCCAGCTACTTGGGTGGCTGGGGCATGAGAATTGCCTGAACCCAGAAGTCAGAGGTTGCAGTGAGCCGAGATCATGTCACTGCACTCCAGCCTGGATGACAGAGAGAGAAGCTCTCAAAAAAATAAAAATAAAAATACAGCCAGAGATCGATTTAACTGTTAACTATTATTTGATGTAATTAGCTACATACCTATCATATAATTAAAATTCAGTATTGAGATGGTTGTCATAGGGACACTTCAAACCAGATTAAGTTTATTTTAAAAGTGAATTGAGAGATTTTACTTTATAAAAAAAAAACCAATTTGGTTAGTTTGCCATTTAGGCTTCTAATTTTGATCTGAGGCCTGCTAACCCTGGAGATTACACAAAGACTTTGTGAGGCGTACTGCGGCCAGGCAAAGACTTTTAAAGAACAGGTTTCCAGGTGTCACATTCGAATACTTCTTTCATCATTCTTGCTGTCCCTCTTTCATTTCTTCTTTTTCAAAAGAATTCTTCTCCCACAATGTTTCTTTTTTTAAAAGAGAAAAATATATCTCCACTTTTTTTAACTTTACCTTGGTGCTTTGTCCCCAGGTGTTGAAATTTCCAGGATGCAAAACGAAGGGGCAATTCAAAACATTCATCTCCACTTCTCAAAAGTAAGTCACCTTGATGACTGGGTAACAAAATCTTGCTAATCATTTGTGTTTTTTGTTTTGTTTTGTTTTGTTTTAGATTTTTAATTACTTTTAAAAATTTGAAGAAATACCTAGTTGAATTGTCAATGGACATCTGCAATTTTTGTTGTCATTCTTCAAAGGAGTTCAAAGAATCAAATGTCATTGTTATAACAAAGCCCTTCCAATCCTATCCACTTATTTCTGAGAACAAGATTTCTCAGTTCTTAGATCTTATAAAAATAATGATATAGGAATAAGAATGATGTGGAACCTGCCACCTTCTAGCAATAAAAAAGGTTCATTTATAAAAACATGAATTTATAGGCAAAACATTAGGAGGTAAATTTCAAAAAACGCTTTTGCAAATAATTAAATTTTAAAATCTGTCACATGTTTATGTTTTAATTCAACTTTTAATAAAATTTGAATGTATGGAGGCATTTTTTATTTTTTCCTCCTTATCACTCTGGGCCATAAAGCTCCACTTCTTTCAGAACATGTGCATGAGATATTTATACAGCTCTTCAGGTAAGGTTACTAATATGCAGCCCTGTGATGCCACCAGTTATAATTCTATTACTGCATTACTACTCTTTCAATTAAAAAGAAATAGTAGAAAAAACAAAGCAAACAAACAAACAAAAGGCAAAATAATTGCATTTCAGAGGATGTCTGTTCCCGTGTAAGGTGCGCCTGTCCTTGCTTCAAGGGGAGTGGGTTACTTTTTTTTAAGTTTTTATATTTTCAAGATTTGGGGTTTGATACAACCATTTTTTTTTTAACTTTAAATTCTGGGATACATGTGCTAAACGTGCAATTGTGTCACATAGGTATACATGTACCATGGTGGTTTGCTGTACCTATCAACCTGTCATCTAGGTTTTAAGCCCCACATGCATTAGGTATTTGTCCTAATGCTCTCCCTCCCCTTGCCCCCCACCCCCCGACAGGCCTTGGTGTGTGATGTTCCCCTCCCTGTGTCCATTTGTTCTCATTGTTCAGCTCCCACTTATGAGTGAGAACATGTGCTGTTTGGTTTTCTGTTCCTGTGTTAGTTTGTTGAGAATGATGGTTTCCAGCTTCATTCATGTCCCTGCAAAAGACATGAATTCTTTCTTTTTTATGGCTGCATAGTATTCCATGGTATATATGTGTCACATTTTCTTTATCCAGTCTATCAATTGATGGGCATTTGGACAACCATATTTTTTGTTGAGTTTTGTTTCTTTAGTGGCTTAGCCATCTCTGCTGGTTTTAGTTAGTTCCAGCTGAGTCAATGGCTCATCTTAGACTGCATTTCTACCACCAACCTCTGCAAGGAAATACTCCATAGGACTTCTGGCCTAGACCTGAGGTTGCCATGGATTCATATTGAGCAAGTGAGTTCCATGTACACATCCCAGTCTTTCCTCAAGTAGCCTGCACGCCCTGTCTCCACCCTCAGTTTAAGAACACCAATGAGGTTTTTGAGATGTTCTTCTTACTTTCTGCCAAAGCAAGATATCTGATAGAAGGAGAAACCCTGTATTGACTCCCTGGCTTTTTGTTTATTCCAAAATTATGCTCTGTCTGGCTGACACATTGTGAAATTTAAGGGGAAAATTAGACCTTTTCCTCATTTCACTTTCATTGTTTTTTTTTTTTTAAATCTATTGTGTATTTCATTCATTTTGGGGGGGGAACAAATTCTACAAACTGCTTTAATATTGTCCTTTTTTTCTAATATTCACATTAACTTTTTATGTAAAACATACCAATGCTTTTAATAAAGCTTACATAGGAATAAACTATTATAGACCTGCATAGATATAAGTACCCATGTATTAATCTACATTAAAATAATGGATTTTATTCTGCGAAGACTCCAAGTTGCTCCTGGGTGCTAAGTGAAGCACTTAGGGAAATGTGTTCAGTCTTTGAGGTCATAGGAACATTAGATTATATCAAAGGAAACCTGGAGCCATCAGCTAAGTGGCCCTTCTGTCCTGTAGATACATAAAAACTAATGTGCTCCGCTATGCGGCTCACTTTCTGCTATTAGATACTATGAGGCACTAAGAAAAAACTACTGCCTGCATCATATCTTTCTTCGGTTTGAGATAAAGAGAATGGCCAGAACTGTATACAAGTCATGAAAGGCCCTGGTGTACATTTTTCAAAGTAGTGCAGATTGTGTTGAAATTATCAGTTTATCTTGCATATAAAAAAAACATATATACACTTTGAGTAAAATATAAAAAGTGGTAAATATCAGGAAAAGTTTGTTTTACTGTAACCATTTCTTGTTCTATTCTATTTGAGTATTTGCTCTATATATTTGATATACTTCCAGAATGCATCCTATTCACAAAGCAGGCAATTACTCTATCAGTGAATACAGTTGCAGAGTCTCTCCTCTATTCAGCTTCATTTGTACCTCCACTCCAGCCACTTGCAGAAATGGCGGATGCATCAAAAAGACTGGTTACAGGCCTTGCACCCTCCAAGCGGCTAATTACCAAGATGTTAAGTAAATGACCATTGCTCTTTATCATCCCCAATGGCGTATAAAAAGGATGTTAAACAGGTTGTCTCATGTTCCCTATACATTTATTCATTCCCGTGTTAAAATACGTCTTATGGGAAAAACAAAATTCACCAAAGAATGAGGAAGCGAACATGTGTTAACAGAGGGACTTCTGGCTAATTTTACAAAGAAGGATAAAAATTCTCAAAATATGTGTGGGGTGGATTGCGGGGGTATTACATATTCATAGCATGCCGCAGAAATCATTTTAAGTCTATCAAAAACAACTATATTGTGCATTTTCAAATAAGCACATATAAAAGATGAGCTATAAGAAGAGAGAAGGATGCTAAAATAAATAAGTAAAAGAGAAAAATGGCTGGGCACGGTGGCTCAAGCCTGTAATCCCAGCACTTTTGGGGGCCGAGAGGTCAGGAGTTCAAGACCAGCCTGGCCAACATGGTGAAACCTGGTCTCTACAAAAATACAAAAATTAGCTGGGCATGTTGGCTCATGCCTGTAATCCCAGCTACTCGGGAGGCTGAGGCAGGAGAATCCCTTGAACCTGGGAGGCGGAGGTTGCAGTGTGCCAAGACCGCATCGTTGCACTCCAGCCTGGACAACAAGAGTGGAACTCTGTCTCGAAAAAAAAAAAAAATAAAAATAAAAGAGAAAAGTAGGTGAAAAGAAGTAATTAAATGGTAAGGAAAGAATAGGTCAGGACAGGAATCCAGGATGACTTTACTATATTTGAACCATAGAACATTAACCAAAATCTTATTTTTCTTCCCCTCAGTAGTTTGAAGTTGAGCAATATCTGTGTCTTTTGCATCACACTCTGAAATTGCAAATTATTTCTTGTCCTTTCAGATAAATGATTATGCAAAAGAAGCCCAGAACTGGCACAATTTAGAAGGTTTGAGGTTGCTCTCATGTGTTTGTAGGGTATGCTATCATCATCCCATAGCCTAAGGCTGTAGTATTGGACTCTCTGGAAGCAGCTCTGAATGTGATAGGATGGAGATAATTGAAGATACAAGCAGCCATTATGTGTCTGAATATTGGTTTACTAGAAGAGCTAGATGTGTAGGAGCACATCCTTACTTGACAAATGTCTGACAGAATGACCTGGCACCATTACTGTTTTAAATGTGTAATATGCTATCTCAACTGGGACATTTTATGAAAGCTATAGGTTGTGACCTACTGTTCATTACACTTAGTTTCTGAGGTGCCAAAGACTGATGTGTGAGCCAAAGTTCATTATTGTTCTTCACTGGATCTTTGCATTTATTAGTCTGATGTTAATGGGATTCACTCTTGAGTTGGATTGATGTTCAAGGTTAGAGCCACAGATGAGCTCCTGATCTTGACCAGAAATGATTTGCCCATTGCCAATTAGAAGAAGAAAAGGGCAAGGTGGAGGTTGAACTTGGAGTTAATAGGAATAATAGATGCTGAGGGTACAAGATGAAACTCAGTAAGATAATACACTCTATTCTTAGACTGGCAAATTTACATAGTAAAGAGAACTTTTATCATTGTCATCCAAAGAAAATATAATCCTAAGAGAAAAAGTCCAGCTAGTTTTTTTTTTCTTTTTTGTTACCTGCTCATAGGATATAAACTTATTTCTATCACACACAGGTATCATTTTCTTCTATTTCACACAAATGTGTGAAATAAAACACATAGAAGAAGAAATAAAACACTTCTTCTATTTCACACAAATGACAAAAAATGTCCTTCAATTATTTTGACACACGATCTCTCAAGATACATATCCTTTTATATCAACTATAAATACAAATTTAAAATTTTGATAAAAGAGAAATAACTGGAATAAAACAAAGCAGTATTTTTTAAAACTATAGCTGTTCCCCTAAGATATTCTCACACTAAAGAATTTTTCCCAATTCTTCTCCCCCACTGAGAAGTACAGTCTTCAAAAATTAGTCCAGGTATTAGTGTTTACCAAGGAGGAATATTTTGAACAAGAATAATCTGATGCTACTTTTCATTTGTCAAGTACATTTTCTAAATTATATTCTAATAAGAGAGAATATGCACATTTGCATGTCATGATTCTTATAAATATTTACTGAGTACTGTCTCTCTGTAAAGAACTACAGTGGGATGGATTTAAGATATATAATACATAATTTTTCATCTTCAAATTGTTCACGTTTTGTAGAGATAGTAACTTGTGCATAAATGACTAGAATGTTAAGTTGCTAAGTGACAAGTGACAAAAATGTTTAACCTGTAAAATCTTCCCCTTGGGAAATTGAGGAATAAAAACTTCCAACTAAAGGAACAAAGATTGTCATGAGCAAAGTTGTATAAAAAATAAATTAAATGTAGGATAATAAAGGTAGTGTATTAAAGTGAGAAGGGTTAGGGTTTCTTAGGTGACAGACTGGCTTGATTTTGTGACTTGTGTGATGGAAGCAAGTTATGTAACACCTCTGAGTTTCCATATCTTCATCTGTGAAGTAGACATAGCTGAACCAACCACATGGAATTGTTGCGAGGGTGAAATGCAATGGTGTGTGCAAGTTTCTAGGCAGTGTTGGACTGGATCTACTATTACGCTATACAAATGATACTTAGAATTTTTACAGTTATGCTTAATATTGTCATAATTCCAGGAAATGAGAAAAATCTCAGCAGAGGTACAAAACGGGCAAGCTCTGGGCAAAATGATCTTAGTGGGTTTATTTCAAAGGATGCTTGAAAGTAATCTGTGGAAAACAAAATTGACAAAAAGTGCATGTTGAAATGGAAATTAACGGGTCTTTGAATGTTAAGAGAAAGATAGCGGGCATGCTCTTTCATCTGTCTATCCCTGGCCCTTAGCATGCCTGGTGCTTTTCAGTGCTCCAGCTTTACGTGTTTAATCGTTTTTGTTTCATTCGAAATAAGTGTTCTCATAGATATAGAAAACCAGCAGGCAATAAAATATATATTCTGAGCTGTGATTTAGTGGTATTATTACTTAGCAACAGTGTGTAGGATGAATTACAGAAAGCAAAAGTAGGGCATAATTATAATCACTAAGACTAATTATCAATATAAACTTTTGCCAGAACAATTGTAAATATATGGAGAGGTGATGCACATGAAAAACACATTAAAATACCCTAGGATTTTGCCAAAATAAGCTGTGTAATAAAACAAAGGGAGAAGAAATTGAAGAATATGATGAAGTTTAAATTGAGGTTCAAGGTGTTTTGCATGAAGAAAGATGAGAAATTTAAATTTGAGATATGATGAGTTTATGGTAGGAAATTGAGATACCATATTTTGCCAGTTGGACTAGACCTCACAAAAAGACTCAAAATAAGTATGCAGAACGCATTAGTTTAGATATATTTGAAGAGACCATGGGAAAAAAGGAAAAAGGGAGGAGTTTAAAGAGTCAAACAAAAAGATGATGGAAAGGCAGTGGGAGACATAAAAGGGAACCAGAAATCTTAAGAGGAGAAAGTGTTCTGAAGAAACACACAAAGTCAATTACTTAAAAAGTTGAGAATCACTGGCAGTGCTGGATGATCGTGACTTTTTTCTCTATTTCAGTAAGCGGGCGATGGACATTAGAATGCAAGAGATGGATGAGGTATGGAAGTAGAAGGAATAAATGTCAACTATTATTTTAAAACATTTGCACAGAAGAAGCAAAGTAGGATAAGAGCTTAAAAATAAAGGTTCTGTTTATTTTCATTTTGTAGTCGTAGGGAAAATGTGAGCATGTTAAAAGAAAAGCTGAGTGTAAAAAGGGAATGAGAGGACAAATTGAAATAGACATGGGTTCAAATCCCAGATCCCACTGGACATCTCTGAGGCTTACTAGACATCATCTGTAAATATAAGATAAACACCTAATATAAAATGTGTTCAGCTATAAGAAGTTTGAGTTAGTGTATATGATTTTTAGAAAATCAATTTATCATATACAATAAAACATATATTAAATTAGACAGTTTGATGCATATTGACAATTGTATATCCCCTGCACATTTCCATCATATATGAAAACTTCTCACATGCCCTCACCATCTCAATCCCTGATCACAGGCAACCACTGATGGAGGTTCTGTCATTATGTACAGGATATATCTTTTCTAAATTTTGTATAAGTGACATCATACATGTGCATTATTTTGTTTCTGTCTTCTTTATCTCAGCATCTTGTTTTTTGAAATTTGTTCTTATTGAGTACATCAGTGGTCAGCTCCTTATTATTGCTTAGTGTATTTCATTTTAGGAATAATGTTCATTGAATTTATCCATTTTATCCATTATAATTTTGAGGGAAATTTGGGGTTTTTCCAGGTTGGGGCTAATATTAAAGCTGCTATGAACATTCAGGTACGACTCTATGTATAGATATGTCTAACTGTCAGCTTCTACATAAACATTTTAAAAATCACTATCTCTAAGAAAACTAGGAAATCAAACATCTGGAATTCGGCATTGGCTACCAATTGTAGATGAAACATACTTTTTCAATGATTTAGACACAACTGTCACAGCTTACAAAATGCATCTTCACCAATTAGTTACCTAGTTAGGCTCTGCAGACTTAATTGTTTATCTCTGACCATAGTCCTAACCCAACTTGGCTCCATAGTTGCTGGGATAAGATAGATTGATTTTAGCTATTGGTATCAGTATTCTACTTCCCACATGCCTGTCGAAAAATGCTCTTAGAGTTTTAGAACTGGAATGGCAAAATTTATTTCCTGAGTGATTAAATGGCTCCACTCCTACTATTCTAGGTCACCTTGTTCCTTGTTGAGAGATAGCCACATCCTGAATGTGGCTCTTTTCTCTCAGCTTTGCACCCACTGTCAATAGGCAAATCTCAGTTGCAAGAAACTCTTTAGGTAGAATGGAAGTATTATTCTTTCTGCTACATGAACCTGAAGGAAGTATTCTCAGATTATCCAGACCTAAGGAAGGATACATTCATCTATAGCTCCCTCTCAATTTACAGAAATGTTTGGTTGGTAGAGAGTCTTGCCTAAGTATTTAATCTGGCCCAAGGTAAAGAAATACTGCAACCTCAGATCTACTAGCCAAGGGGAGCTGGGTTGTTTTGAAAGGCACTGTAATGTGCCCCCTTTTTCTTACACAGCAGTGGGCACGATTAGGAGGCAAAAACTTATGGAAAGGAAAACTTAAGTTCTTCCTTATAAAAATTTAAAACATGTATCTCCATGGAGGGCCTGCAAAGTCTTTATAGGATATTTTGCCTTTGGGAACTTCTTTTTTTATACTACTATTTCAATCTCCTCACCTCCCTCTCTGTCTCTATTTCTAATTAGATAGATCATAGATACAGGTATAGATAAACATAGATATATAGATGGAAGGCCTTGATTGAAAGTGCTACAACCTCCTTCCACTGTTGAGTGGAAGCACCTGCTTGAGGGATGTACCAGTTTAGTTAGGAGGAGGAAATGAGGAGGGGAGTCTGATGGAGGAAAAAAATAAAATGTTCTGAAGTGATTGAGAGCACAGAGAGTTTGGAATAGACCTGCAAACAGGGGGCCCTTGCTAGGAACTAGGGCACATCCATGAAGTGACTTTGCTGTTGTGTTTACATTATTTGTCTTTTTCCATTAGATACTTGCCACGGTTATATTACGCATCCACAATTTCAAGATGTTGCAGTTTTGGGATGCATTGTTTTATTTCCCCCGAGAACACAGCAGCCTTGTGCAAGAGGCATTGTGCATGACTAGGAGAGGAAGAAATAACAAACTCCTTAAGAACAACAGGAGGGGGAAACGGGGAGTAGTTGTTTAGACAACTAATAGTTAATTTCCAGGCCTTGCCAGGTCAGGAAAGGAAAATCCCTAGGTGGGGTTCATACCTGTAGTCAAATACAAGTAAAACCAAAAGGTAGGGCCTAATCCAGGCACATTTATTTTTCCCCAAATACTTTCAAAAAGAGAGACCATTGAAGGAGTGAGGGAGTCTCAGGGTTTTAGGCTACATATGATTTTCATCCACCTTGTCTATGCAACTCAGGTCCAGGATTCCTTCCAGCCATCACTAACTGAACCAAATTCCAAGGAGCCACTGCTTCACATTGCCATGCTCCGTGTTTTGCACAGAGGCTTCAGTTTTGATCAAACATGTTTTGTTTTTGATTATCACACATTCCACTCCAAAACTAAATATTATTTCCCGAAAATAATTTGTCATTTTAGAAATTGATACAACTCTGAAATGATTTTATCTGTTTGAATACTTTGATGATCATCTCAGACACATAAGCAGAAATTTAACATAAAGAGTTAAAGATTGATAATAAATAAAATTGTTTTTCAGATTCATTGAAACATTCTTAATTTTTCTTCTAAAAGAAATGAGTAAAATTGATTTTGTTATTTAATATCTCTAGAGGTGCTTATTTTAACTAGTACCTTATAACTAGAAGGTATCTGGGTCTTCAAAAGAATTTCATAGCATACCTCTGATCATTTAACTTGGCAAGTTTGTCTTTCAGAATATGTTGTAGTCAGATAGTCGAGAATGATCATTAGTGAATTCTCATATCCATCCATCTATTTCAAGTTGTACTTTGCCATAAATCCAGTTCAGAAATCTGTGGGAAAACTTAGCACTTCTGAAATTTTAGAAACTAGTTAAAAGGGATTGAATTCAGCCTTTCTGAGGCACTGAAGATAAAACTTAGACTTATATTTGTAATTCAACCCAAATGACAAATTTTTCAGTTACAGATTTTAATCTGGTTTTTAACTACCTCATAAAATTTTTACCAGTAAGTTCTACATAAAATAATTCAAAAATCTGATTGTCAGAACCACTGCAATTTCTCTATTATGAATGTATTTACAAGTCATCCTGCATGTAAAAGAAGCAATTTCATGTGGATAAGTAAAATGGTTAAATTTGTTTGTATTCTATACATCTATACATAATTACATGTACATATACATAATTAAACTTATACCCTTGTCGATGATGAAGTGAACGGTTAAAATAAAGTATGCTAGTCTTCACTTAATCATGTTATTTTAATTCAGCATAAAAGATAGATACAGTCATTATCTAACTAGTTAATTTGATTTTTTTGGTTATTCTTATCCACAAGTAAGGCTTTTAGATAGATCTGAAATGGGATAATGGTGGAAGATGAGGAACTACCACTGATCAAGTAGCCATATTAGCAATGATGCAGTTTGCACAGGGAAAACAAGAAGGAATAAATAAGCAAATGGGAGAAGAATTACAGAGAACAGTATCCAAGATGCTTCAGTTCAGATAATATTTTGTTTCATTATGAGAGCCTGCACTTAATTTTCCACCAGTTTACCAAGCTAGCGTGACCATCATGACCTTGTACCATCTTCAGATTCCACGAATGGTAGATGAAGAGTTCTACCCATCACTTCTAATAGGCAAAGATAGCACATGCCTACATGCACTGATTTGGAAGAAGGACAAGGCTAGAGATGGTGAGCGTTCCGCTTGAGCTATGGGCTATTAGCTTGTGGTAAACATGACTTAATAGTCAGTGATATGGACTTCACTGGCAGGTCTCATTCAGATAATCCCACAGTTCTTCTACTTCTTAATATAATATTTTCTAGGATAGGGGGTGGGGTGTAGTTGGGGGATCCATCAGGTGAGTTGAGAAGAGGAATGTGATAGGAACTTTTGTCACTGTTGGAAAGTGCGTGGGTGGTGACATTGAATAGATTCACTCAGGGAGACAAGTTAGCATATCTTTCATCTTTTTATAAGCAGCTGAGTAGAAAGAAATTGAGCAGCAGGAAAGGAGGGACAGGATACAAGAAAGTGTCTTTTCTTCCTCTCCATTCTTACAATGTCCTGATTCTTCAGCCCAGAGCTTTAAATATTTTTGTAACTACTTTCTTGGGGAACTGTCATGTTAACAGTAATTTTGTATATATTGAGCTCCTAAAGCTATGGATGCTTTATAAAGCTACAATGTAAATTTATTTCTCTCCATAATCCCTGTCACTTTCCCTGTCTCCACATAAAAAGCAAGAGACTTAACATTTCATTATTAATTACAGCAACAGCAAGTTGGCTGTCAGAGTCAAACCTCCACACACTCCCCCCACCAAGCTGCTGAGCTTCCAGCCATTTACTCATTAAGCTTATGATGATGATGGAGTTTTTAAAACCTGCTCTTTGTAATGGACAGTAGACCTTAAAAATCTGTCATAAATTGCTCAACTGAGGAAATCAAATGGCAAAGAGAGTGAACCAGTGTAAGAGCAAACAAATTGCACCATAAAAGAAAGTAGTGTCTTTAACTGAGCTTTTATTTTTACAAAGAATGTGAAAGCAACTTGGAGACTGTAAGTGGATGCTGTGAGACTGTTTAACTAAGAGCAGTTATTCACATTAAAGAGGCTGAACACATAAGGAAAAAAAAAAAAGAAAGAAAATCAGACCAAACAAAAACAAAGGAACAAAACCGCCTTAGAGTGTTTTCGTTTTTCAAATGATATGGTACTGCTGAGTAAAAATGACTAGGTCCATTTTTAAGTGTATTTTTTTCCTTAACATTTTAAAACCAGACTACATAAGATAAAAGCATATTTCAAGGTGAATACCGATCAAGTTAAGGATCTAAGCGTATAACAGATTTTTCTCTCATATTTCATAAGAGATTTTTCAAAATGCACATTAATTCTGATATTTTTATTCATTTATTCAGGAAATATTAATGAGGACTGTTGAAGTCAAAATAGAAATGTAAAGAGGAATCTCTAAATTTAACATTTAATTAAGAAATAAATAATTTGCAAATCAGGGCATATATTCAGACCGAGTGGTCTTCAGCATGTCTGAAGAACGAAGAGAAGGCTGGAGGTTTTACTAAAAAAAGAAATATTAATTATTGCTCTTTGAGAAAGTTCATTAGCATTGGTAAGGTTCTGGGAAGCTGGAACGTCTGACTGGTGACTGATGGTGGGTAAAGTAAATCTTAGATTTGTAGCAGGTTTGTTTGGCAACTATTAGATAAAACAGTTGTGAGGTTACAGCAGGCACTTTCAGCAGCCAGACTTGCAGTGAATTACATTTTGGGAGAGCAATGTTTTGTGTCCTGAGTGCTTTTTGCCCCTGCCCTCTTGACTCTGTTTTCACTGGGTATGACGAGAATGCCCCAATTCAAATAATCAGCTTTCACAGTACCTATTATGGTCCAGTTCTTTTCTCAAACACTTTGGAATTCAAGAATAAACTAAACAGAAGAAAATCTGACCCTGAAGAAGAAAGTAACAAATAAGTCATAAGTATAATGGATAGGTAAGTTATATTGCAGATTTGAAAGAAATATGTGATGAAAAATAAGAGAAGTAGAGCAGGAAAAAAGAAATTAAGATGGTAGGTGTGGTGGAAGGAGAGGAGGCAAATGCAGGCTCAACCAGAAGGTAAGAAGTCAACAAACATTTTGGAAGGTAGGAGTTGTCAATATGGACAACATGGACATCTGGGGGAAGAGTTCCATGTGGAGTGAGGTTACCCTAAATAATTGAACTTGCTGGAAAAAAACACAACTCTCAATTTTACTACATAGAAGCTCTTGTAAATGAGAGCAGATGAGCTGTTACTTGTGTTGTGTCCCCAAATGAAACAGCTCATTCTAACATGGGGTAGTGTGCATCAAAGACAAATCATGCCATCTCACAATAAGTATACCCACCAAGAACCTTTTGGAGACCTATATTTGGCACTAAAAATACCATTATGAAGAAGAACTTGTATGCCTAATTGCACCCATGCTTTGGTCAATCCTCAATTATATATACATTATAATCAACCACATACAAAAGTCTAATATGTGCATTTACCCTGTGATTCTGTTTTATTCATATTAATAGAAGCATGTTTCTACCACTGTGGTGTCATATTATTCAATTATTTTGAGTTTTAAATCCCAGGGACCGACTTTACCTGAGTATTGTAGCTCTAAAGTTGGAAAGAAAAAATAATGCTGATACCATAATCAGATAGACATAAACAAAAGTGGGAAGAAATCTGCTATTGTGATGAAGCCTATATCATTTAACACCTGAAACTTTGACCAAGCAGAATAAATGAATGAATAAATAATTAAATAAATTAATAAAATGATTCTGGAATTGTAAGCAAGGGAAGATGAAATGATCAGTAGCAAATAACCAAACATGAGCTGACATCATGAAGAAAATAGCAAATTCATGAATTATTCTAAAATCGAAGCATTTGTTAGTCTTAAGTGTGAATATCTCTCTATGAAATTCTTTAATCTGGCCTTACAGTATGATTTACAAAGCACAGTTTCTATTTCTAAGAGCCTCTTACAACTCAAAACTTGCCTTACAAATTTTCTTAGAAGTAATCTTGACAGCAAACACATATTGTTTGAACTTTGTTTTTCATATTTTGTACATTAATTGCCATTCACGTTTTAGTAGTAAATTCTACGTGGTCCCAGGTGTGTGACTGTGCATGCAAGTTATATCAGAACAGGCCTTCCCAGCTTTGTCTTATCGTTATAATATGCAAACTATTGGCATAATTCTACATCTCCCTAAAGATTTTTTGAGTCTTTTGGGATTGATGGTCTCTCTCCCTCTCTCTGGATGCTGCTTTAGGACACTTACTAAGTATACTACTGTGTCTTTCTCAGTGATTAATGATGACTAGATTAATTGGCTTTCTCTTTCATTGTAAGTTCCCCTTTAACATTTCTGATTTTAATTGTGAGAAATAACCCTGCGCATGCATGTATTAGAAGTCAGGGAAGATCCTCTCGATCCATCCCATCAATTTCCCAGGAGCAATTGGCATAATTTAAATCTTCATCTAACTATTCTCCTTCAATTGTAATTGGTGCCACCTATTTTTAAAGTAGCCTATTCTTGTAACATTAACGTTATTTTGATAATTTATTGCGACCCCATTGCCAAAAACAGGCACAAGGGCGCCATAAATAAAGCAGTCTGATAATTGCTTAAACAAAACTGGGCCCCATGGACCAGCAATAAACTGTCATTAAGGTTAGGCTGGAGAAGCACCTGCAATTTCTCTGGATAACCTCTTTTATTTCTCTGTGTACACTACTGCTCATTTCAGAAAATGACAGTTTTGAAAGATATCAGCAATTTGTTGAAACAAAGAATGAGAAAAACATGGTCTTGGAGGTATAATTTACTTTTACATTTTGAATTAAAAAATAGAAAAAGATATGTTGAAAAAAATTATCATATGAAAACCATAAGATTTCTACTGTAGAGCTAGAGCTATTTCACAGTTTAAAAGCTTGCTCCCTTTGTGGTAACTTTTATTTGTTATTTAAATTCAAGTTAATCTTCCCTGACTTGTAGTACTAAAAAATAGTACTCATGGTCTTTTATTGTTTTCATGCACAATTTAGATAATGTATTTTAGTGTTGCAGCTTGGCTCAGCAATTTTAAAGATTTAGGTTCTGAAAGTTGTTCATCAATAAAGTGGCCTATGTACCTCATTTGCAATGTGAAAGTGTTAGAAATATGAAAGAATTATATTTATTTTATAATACAAAATATAGAAAGATTAAAACTATATTTAAAACCAATTCAGAACACACAAGTAGGTATCACTTAAATGTCTTTTTCAATGTCGGTGACATTTTTAGTTGCTTTTCTTTCTTAAAATTTGCTCCCAAAGTGGCCATAATAATTGATATTTTATAAAGTTGGGGAAAAAAACAAAATGAATGTCTTCCTTTTATATTTATCAGAAGGTTATTTAAATGAATTCTTCTTGAATTTGATGGAAGCATTTTTTAAATTATGTTAATTTTAACACATCAGATGCATGTTTGAATACAAATAAGATCAAATAGGTCTTGAGTCATATCTGCAGGATCTTAATTTTAACATCATAGAGACAAAGATTTTAGTTAATCTTTTGTTTTGCTGTCAAATTTCCCTCTAATTTTGGACATGACACATTTTATCTTATTGAGTTTCAATTATATATGTATAATTATATATATAATTGAATATATATGTGTACATATATACGTAGATATATATATATATGTTGGACTCATGAATGTACATGAAGATACTAGCTTTGAATGAAACAATGTCAATTGCAAACTGCTGTTCATGCTTAATATAAATTCAATTATGAACCGAAATCCTTTAAGACAAAACAGGGAACCAGGTACTCTTATAACTTTTCTCCCAATAATTTGATTTTTTGGAAAAATTTAGTACCATATAATTTTCCCCCAAATATTACCTTTATTAAAAATAATAGTAATAATTCTGGAGAGTTATTTACACTGTGATTTATTAAATCAATCCCTATGATTTAATGTAGTGATGAAAGTGGTCTTTATATTTAAAATGTGCATGTTATATTGCCAGTTTTTACTGAGCACATACATTGTCGGCTAATACATACTCCTTTGTAGGTGAGTGTTTAGCGAAGAAAGCCATTGCTCCATTGGCAAATTAGCGTCATTAGTTGAAGGAGCCCAAGGGTTTAAATTGCAGGAGGTTTGCAGGAAGCATGTGCGCTGGCAGAGCTGTGTGGTAAGGCATCTGCAATAACCATCTACATTATGCTTCCATTTAGGTGGTGTCATCACTCTGTCACTTTCATCTATTCCATAATTTGCACAAAAAGAAAGCACACCACAACAACTCTTTAAATTCCAAAAATGTATGGTAAACTGTCAGTTTCTCTTGTATGAAGTTGTTTATCTCAGGATTTTACTTGGCGTGCAATTTCTCAATAGACGTATCCTTCCTTCTGAAATGCAAAGGAAATCCCATTGATCAATAGGGGTTGCAGTACTTATCAACATCACAACGGAGACAGCTTAATTCCTCAGATTAGCATTTGGCTCAGATCAGCAAATGTTTTCTGAGAAATTACTATTTATACATTTAAAAGTATCCAACTTCCCTATCTTCCTCCTATCAGCTCAAAATATAAGCCCGGGCCATGTGGCTGCATCTTAATCACGTTCGAGCTGGAGAGCCATCAGTTGAAAGCCTGTCTCAGTTCATAGATACGAGAGATTGTAATATTTTAACATTTCCTCCTGCCAAGTTGCTAAGCAATAAAACTATCTTGGCACTTTCCTGCCAGTTCATCATGAAGAACTACTTTAGTTTAGCTTAGTCTCTTGATGAAACAAATGGAAGGCAGCTGCACCAAACGGCCTTTCAGAAACGTGTTGCCAAACAAATCCCGGGAACTTTCACCCCTTTGCATAGCTAATTTAGATGGCTTGAAGCAGAGAAATCCCATGTTAGTATCAGCATAGAAAATCAAGTCTTAAATATGAGTGATTAAAAATTATACAAACAATAGCTCATCATAAATTTGCCGAGTGCTATTGTCCCATATTACCTTTCTCCAAGGTATACCTAAGTGTGATGATTTCTCAGCTAAAAAAAGGCACATTTTTCATACCATAAAGTCAACTTAAGTCAGACATACTAGACAAGCTACTGGCTAAATTTGAAATGTATTTCTACTTAATTTTTACTTAGCTTTTGAGAGTTTTGATTACATAAGTAATGCCAAAAGAATGCCACACAATAATTTCAAACAACAGAGAAATGTATACATTTAAAAGTGTATAAAGTAAAAAGAGAAGTAAGTTTCCTTTCGCATTCATCCAATCCTGTATATTTGTATGTGTTTTTTCACAACTGCCTCTGTGCATGTGTGTATGTGTATTTGTGGCTGCATATGTATAAACTAAGAATTTTAGTCTATAAACTTACAGCAAATATTGACACATTTATTTATTGCTGTTATTGTTTTTATTAAAATTGAATCATATCCTGAGCCCCCAACTTGCCATTACATGAACTAAGTTCTTCCCATCTCAGGAATCAGAAAATCCCAAGAATCTTTATCACAACAGAATGTTCTGGGAGAGTCCCCTTGGATTTAGGACACACAGGTCACCAAGGAAATGGCCCTGTGCAAACTCACACCATCATGTGAAGTGGACATCTGCATTCTAGTGCTACACAGACTACACCATCTGCTTCAGAGAGTTTGCAGGTGATCTTCTCTCAGTCTGTCCTCCTCACATTTCAGGTCCTTCACAGAGCCAACTCCTGTTCACTGTTATCCTCAGCCTGAAATCACAAAGCTTCCTTATGTAGGCCTTCTTTATCAACTCAGATTAAATTAAAACCTTTCCTCCCAGTGGACAACAAGGCACTTTTTAATGTATCCATTATCATACTTCTCAAATTTATTTTTGCCAACTCTCTGCTTCCTTACTAAACTATGGTATCCATAAGCGTAGCTTACAGTGCTCAACATTTATTCATTAATTGGACAGATACTCACTGAGCTTCTACTATGGTGAATTGATGTGCTGGATGCTGAGAATAAAACTTCTATTTGAATGGCATGATTCTCTCTCACTGTCCCTACCTTTGAGACAGATGTGAATAAAAAAGCCACACATTATTACTTAATTAGAATGATAAGTGTTATACTATCTATGTGAGTAGTTGGAGCAAGTTAGTCTAGTGAGAGAGGTGAGTGTTTCAGGAAATTCTCTGGAAAAATTTGTATGTAAGTTGAGACCTGAGAAGTAAACACAACTTCATTAGGAGAGAAGAGCATCCTTAGTTCTTTAGTGAGACTGGAAGGTGTGTGGAGTAGAAGCCTTAGAGAGGAGGAGGTGGTGGACACACATTCTGAAAGAAGAAGTATTCTAAAGCCAGGCTGGCCAGCAAGGATTTTATATTACCGAATCTTTTGGGTTTTTTTCCATGAGAATACTGTGAAGCCATAAGCAAGGCAGCAATATGAGTAGATCTGCAATTAGAACATGATGGTGGACTTGGCCAAGATGGTGAAAACAAACAGAATAGAATTGAAAAATATTTTGGAGTTAAAAATAGGAGAATTTATCGATTCACTGATTGTGGGTCTGAGGCAAAGAAGATAAAAGTTAAAAAATATAAGAGGAAAAGCAATAGTTAACACTCATAATGCACTTGCTAGGTACTAATCATTAAGTTTCTCACATGTATTAGTAGATTTAATTTGCACAATAACCATAAGAAGTAGGTGCTATTATTACTCAAACATCATCGATGAGGAAAGTAAATCAAAGGGTTAATAAATAACTTGCCCAAAGTTGTACGGCCATAGGGTGGTTTGGTTCCAGAATCTATTACTTACACATTACTCCTGGGCTTTTGGAATGAGAAACTGAGGATGGTGTTGCTATAAACTGGAACAGGGAACATTGGAGAAGCAGTGAATCTGGGTTAAGGCACAAGATGATCTTTGAACAGGTTGAATTTAAGGTGCCTCTGAGATAGGCAGCTAGAGATGACAGGTCTGGCATTCTAAAGTTGAATATAAACAGAAGATATCATTTTGGGACTTATCAAAGTAGAAATGATAATGAAAGCCATGAGATGCATGAAAGCATTCAGGATTACAGTATAGAGTAAAAAAAGAAAGCCTATATGAAGTAGAGGAAGGGGTATTGGCCTCATTGTCTAGGGAGGAACTGCTAGGGTAGTAGAACAATGGGATTATGCTGTCACAAAAAACAAAGAAAAAACATAATTTCTTAAATCATGGTCTGTCACTGAATCTGGTTATAAAACCTTATCTTGCACTAGAAGGATCTGTAGCTTTTCCAGCTGAGAATGGGGTTCAGGATACCGAATCAACACTAGAAAAGAGAGAAACTGGGGATGAAGAAAACTCAGCTAAATTTCCTATAGGAAGGAGAGATTTTGACAGTGAGTAGTTTTTCAAAATTCAGTTCTTACATCCTACCATTAAACATAACTCTGAGTTTAAGCAAATTTGGATGCAATCATAACAAAATCAAATAGGACCATGGCTCAATTACACCTGCCAAAAATGTGGGATTAAGAAGTGTTTAATTAGTTCTTATCATTTTGGTTTACTCAGAATTAGTTATACTAGATCCATTATTCTTTTTTCTTAATAAATTTTGTGTGATAATTATAGTCCTTTAAACAATTTAAACTTTCTTCTTCCTTCAGCACTCAGATGTATGCTGGGAAGAGTCTACCAACGTTGCTGGCAAGTCTGATTCTTTTTTTGATATGGACCTGTTGGTCCATATCATCTTTTCAGAAGAAAAGCATTTAATTGCCAATGGGAGGAGAAGCCCATAATGTTACTGTAACTTGGGTATTATGTTAACTGTCTGTTTTAAAAGAAAGTAGCGTTAAGATAGATCAGTAACCAAAATCATAGGCTTTTTCTGTGCATTGAACTTTGTGAAAATGCTGTATAATTTTGACTTACTAGTATTTTTGAACAATGCTTAACATACTAACCTTACATACACTCTAGACCAAAATAAGGCATCATAATTTACACCTTAATCTCAAAAATTAAGCATGTCTTTGGTGAATGGTTTTATATATACATAAACCTAAAACATATAAGACAAAAATTTATGTTTGGAGCCTGTGTTCTGTAAAGAGAAGGTTGATTTGTCTTTTAGCTATCGTATTTGGAGTGGAACTATAATACAAATGTATAATATTCTTTTTTTTTTTTTTTTGAGATGGAGTCTCACTCTGTTGCCCAGGCTGGAGTGCAATGGCACGATCTCGGCTCACTGAAACCTCTGCCTCCCGGGTTCAAGCAATTCCCTGCCTCAGCCTCATGAATAGCTGGGATTACAGGTGCCCACCACCATGCCTGGCTGGTTTTTGTATTTTTAGTAGAGGCAAGGTTTCACCATCTTGGTCAAGTTGGTCTGGAACTCCTGACCCTGTGATCCACCTGCCTTGGCTTCCCAAAGTGCTGGGATTACAGGCGTGCACCACTGAGTCCAGCCTATATTCTTGTTTATCAGTTCAAAAATGCTCTGCACTGTTTTTGACTCTTTAAAAATAACTTAGATTCAAATTTATAGTAGAAGAAAAAAAATCTTTCAGATAAGAGGTGTTCTCCAGAATGGAAGAACGACTTGGCATGTAAGAAATAGCGTCAGTGTCCTAATGCATATTGTGACTGTTTGCATATACTTCTGTTTGTAAAAATATCGGTTTTATTTTCAGAGGATTTGTAAGAAACATTTAAATTTTCATTGAAATAAATGACAAGTCATACTGTCACTTAAAAAAAAAAAAAAGACCTTTGTCAAGGAGAGTGCAGTCAACCAGTAAACTGCAGATTCTCAGAATGTTTATTGACGTACTGATTATTCATTCTGTTATACTCTAACATCTGTATATTTTTACCAGTATTCTCAGACCACTTCTACCAAAACATAAATCTGTGATTGTGATCTCTGAAAGTCAGTCCTTTTATCTACTCAAGTAAGTGCAAATTTTAGAAAATAATTTTCCCTAGAAATATAAGTTGTTCTTTTCTTAATTTATCCACTAACTGTTTAGAAATATAATTAGCTTCTAAGATTTGAAAAACGGTAAATTTTAAAAGTCATATCTATTGGTTAAAGTTTAAAATACTTCCAGGAAATAAGCAGAATTGAGTTAATGTTAATTTTATCCAACTAATACTTGAAAAGGATCATTGATTTATATTACTGCCAGCTTAAACCATTTTAATTAATGTACTACTAATCATAACAGTGTTAGTTACAATTTTGTCTTCAAGTACAATAAAGACACATAGATTTGAACTCTTTTGATTATTTTTGGCCTCTTGGTCAATGCCTCATAGTCAAAATTTTAATTAAGATTTTGCACTAAAAGTAAAAAGAAAATTGGGATAAAAATGTGCAGTGTGTTTTATTCATTATGTGGAGGCATCTTTCCTATATCCAAGTTTAACTAATACTGGTCCTCTACCTGCTTAGATTAACTGGTAAGAATTTTATAAGCATTTCTTACTATCTGTTATAAACCAAAAATGGCAATCTTTCCACATTTTGACGTAATAATTTTGAGCTTATTACAAATTAAAATAAAAAATTAAAAACAAATATTACCTTATAAAAATTCAAACGGTATGTATTGAATATTAATTTAAATTACTGTTATTAATATTACATGAAATACGCATGTTGTAAAATTTTAAATTACTATCTGGTTAAATAAACTATACATATTCTGTAGAGTCAAATCAGATTTTGGCAATGTTGTAGAATTTAACTGAATGCCCAGATGGAGGAACTTGATTATATTATATAAAGGGGACTACAATCCTAGAGTTGGACTCAAGCACAAGCATTTCTCATTATTTTGCAGAAGAAGACACTAAGGTTTTCAGAAATTAAATTGCTTTTTGGAAAAGGTGGGAGATTCTGGGAACATAGAAACTTGAATCCAGTTTTCTTCAACTCCACGTCAAGACAGTTGCATTGTGTGAGAAAATAGCTACGGCCATTTGTGGTAAAATCACATATATGCAATTATGTGAAACTAATTGTGTATATGTATCTGTGTATGTGTGCGTGTACAATATATAAACTATCAATATTTATCAAAGTCCGTATAGCTGCTAGCAATGAGGGGGATCTAGGATTCTATCACATGATACCTTTTTATGAGGCCTTTGTTCTTTCCAGTACATTTGTCAGCTCGTTCATGAAAGAGATTCTTAATTATTTACTGAAATATCACAAAAGTGATGGTGAGCTAGGTTGCCACATTGATCCTGATAGGTCCTTGACAAATTCATATTGACTCTCCACAAATAAAACTATAAGGCAGTTTTTCCCATTGTGATGCTTTTGTCTACAATCTTAATTGTTAACTCTTCCAAAGAATAAACACACAATATATCAATTTTTTAACCCATTTAGGTAGAAATATGGGTATATAGAAAGGAAGAAAGCAAGGTTAACGGTGAGCAGTGGCTAAATGAACAAGAGAACATTCAGTTAAGTATTTCATCTCCAAAATGGTATAAACTGTGGCAGAAAGTACTTTGTTGAATCAATAGTTTCGAGACAGACATACAGTAGGGACATCGAAGGTACAAAATAGAGCACTGATGAAGGAGTGAATTATCATCTTCACAGATGAGTAGAGAAAGAGAAGGTCTAAATATTGAGATGAGAATATAGAAATTTCTGATGCACAACACAGCTCAGAAATTCAATCTGAATATATTCCAATTCAGTGCCTTGCAATAGATCCATAATGATCGCCTATCTTTCCAGCATACAAAGCAACGCATATCATTTAAACATTTTTCTAGCATGAAAATGTGCCTGGGTTATGCAATACACACTTTACCAAAATATGATTTTGGTGGCTGTAAGCACTTGATTGTAATGACCTGTAAAATGAGCAACATTTTTAACTCCGAAATTCTAATCAATATTAGTTAATGAGGTGTGTGACAACTTATAATGCTTTTAAATACTCTTAGTGGCCATCATAATACAAATTTTCCCACTTACAGCATATTTAATTTTAATCCTTGCAATAATATAAATGAAATACATCTAAAACACTTTATAGTAAGCACTCAAGTAAAAGTCCCCATAACATGGCCTTAAAAAAGGTTAATCTTTTAACAATGGGGTCATGAAAACATTTTTGTTATAGATATTTTTATGTTCCTCCTTGTATCAATCAGGATTAAATTTTCAAATATTCATACCATTTAACAACAGACTGAATAAATAACAAAGTTGTTAACACAAAATGAATAAATGTTTTGTATACGTTAAAAATAGAAGATAGAAAAAATAACTTGGTAATGTGTTTAAAATATTTTATGGCCTCTACCCCATTATGTTATTCCATTTTCTCATAACTGTAGACCTTTAGCTACCAAACAGAGGGAAGGGGCATTGTACACTAGTTACCTAGAAAACAAATCATTTATAGGTCTTATTTTTGGAAAAGGAGATATCTTTTAATTCAACTAAAATGTAAAACATTGGAAGTGTCCCCCTATCAAGGCTTAGTTTTACTATTGCTTAATATAGATGAAGAAAAAATAAATCATATACTAAACTCGGGAAGCTTGGGTTTTCTCTTAAAGTAAGCCATGCTGTGATTGTTCCATCTAAACAGTTATATCAACTTTACTTTGTATCATATGAAAACAACAGCCTGCTGAATGACTATGTATTGTCTATTTCCACCTGCTAAACAAGATAAGACCACATGAAATAGGATCAGCTTAGCCATTACCTTCAGGAAGCTTCAGACATATTGTTTATTGCAAATGGACATATATTATAAATGTATATACAGACACATCTTTGTGATATTACTTCCTGAAGTATGTTCTTATGGAAATTTAACTTTGTTCATCCAGTCAGATTTCCAGAAATGTATCTACTGTGACAATTAATATCTTATTCTCCAACTCTTTGTTTTTCTCATTCTGTACTTACTTTGCTTTCATCAAAGACATTTTAGCAAAATTAATTTCCAGGACCATTTTCTTAGTGAACTAATGCCATTTGATCACCAATGGCCATTTTCGTTTTTATCTCGAGGATCACATTGGGCATTTGTCTCTGACTTTTCACTCAGTTTATAATGCATTCTTGTTCCCTTTGGAGGATGTTTGTTCTTTTTTTCTCTGCCCGCTCCCAACATTAAAATCCAAGGTAAACTCTTAATTAAGTGGAGTTGACAGAAGTCACATTTTCTCTATAAAGAACAATTGGAATCCACTGGATTTGCCCTATCAAGAAAAAAGAAAATCATATCTCCAAGAGTAGGTATTGGTAATTAATTAATCCCTAATCTTTTTGAAAAGTATCTGTATCAGTCCATTTTCATGCTGCTGATTAAGTCATACCTGAGACTGGGTAATTTATCTTAAAAAAAAAAAAAAAAAAAGAGGTTTAATGGACTCATAGTTCCATGTGGTTGGGGAGGCCTCACAATCATGGCAGAAGGCAAAAGGCACATCTTACATGGTGGCAGGCAAAGGCAATGAGAGTCAAGAGAAAGGGGAAATCTCTTATAAAATCATCAGATCTCCTGAGACTTATTCACTACCACAAGAACAGTATGGGGAAAACTGTCCCCCATAATTCAATTATCTCCCACCAGTTCCCTCCCACAAGATGTGGAATTATGGGAGCTACAATTCGAGATAAGATTTGGGTGGGGACACAGCCAAGCTGTATCATTATCAGATATTGTATTCATCTGGTAGTGGTCAGTAAATCTGTGCACAATCTCAGAGTTGGCTGATTTTTGCTTTTCCATCCTTGCTATCTCACACCAGTGGTTTCCATCCTAAAGTACACAAACCATGTTATTTTTCTGCTCTTTGATTTCCTAAGCAGTATACCAGCTACTTTAGGACTGTGTTCCTGTACAGTGCCCCTTTTCTTCACGACCACCTACAAATCTATTAAGTACTTAAAGACTTTTTTCCTGTGATGGGGATTTTGATGCTTGTTTGTTCTTTCTATGCCAATTTCATACACCTCTGAGTCTCATCCATATGTCCCAACTGCTCCCTCTAAAACTAAAAGCTACTATTTATTAAGTATTTGTTGCATTTCCAAAATCACTCTAAGTACTTTGTCTACATTGTCTCATGTAATCTTCACAGTTTTCTGAGTTGTGCATTATATGTTGCTACTGTCCACATTCCTTCACTAAAGTTATGGATTTTAGTTTATTTTAATTAAATGGCCAATGAAGATTTTGAGAAGTAACTAGTATCACATAGCAGAGGTGGGAATGCATTTGAAGAGATCTATATTAATTTTCTAAGGCTGCCATAGCAAATTTGCACAAACTTGGCATCTTAAAATAACAGAAATTGATTTTTTTTACAGTTCAGAAGGCCAGAAATCTGTTTTCTCACAGTTTGGGCCAGAAGTCAGAAAGCAGCAGAGTTGGTTCCTTCTGGAGCCTCTCAGGAAAAACCTGTCTTATTCCTCTTTCCTAGCTTCTGGTGGTTCTTGTCACTCCTTGGCATTCCTTGATTTCTTGATTAGTTGTATCAATCCAATCTCCAACTCTGTCATTGAATGGCCTTCTTTCTTGTATAACTCCCCTGCATCTTTGTATTCAAATATTCCTCTCCTTTCTCTTTTAAAGATACTAACCACTGGCTGGGCATGGTGGCTCACGCCTGTAATCCCAGCACTTTGGGAGGCCGAGGCATGCGGAACATGAGGTCAGGAGTTTAAGACCAAACTGGCCAACATGGTGAAACCCCGTCTCACTAAAAATACAAAAATTAGCTGAGTGTGGTGGTGCACACCTACAATCCCAGCTACTGGGGAGGCTGAGGCAGGAGAATGGCTTGAACCCAGGAGGCAGAGGTTGCAGTGAGCCAAGATCTTGTCACTGCACTCCAGCCTGGGTGACAAGCAAGACTCCGTCTCAAAAAATAAATAAACAAAAGATACTAATCATTGAATTTAGCTCCCACCTTAACTAAGTAGGACTTCATTTTAACTTGATTACATCTCAAAAGACCCTATTTCTAAAAAGGGTCACATTCATAAGTACCAAGGATTAGAATGTGAACATATATTCTTGAGGGACACAAGTCTACCCACTAAAATGTGTAATTCCAAATTGCATGCTCAATTTTACAGTATACAGCACTAAACTACATCCTACTGCTTTACTGGGTGACTCTCTTTTAAAGGCCTGCCATGGTCTTTACCGTAATTCTTCAATTTATTTTGCTTGAGTTGTCCTATATGTTTTTCTAGACCCAATCTCAAGCCATCCTTAGCAAGAATCTTAAGAAAATCTCCCAAATTGTATAAGTACTCAGTCAATGCAGAATAAGCAATGCTTTCCCTGATTAGTTCTATTCTGTTTCTTCTGCTTCTGAACCTCTAGAAAGATCTCACCTGAGTTTCAGTAGAGTCTCTATACATCCTACATGAATGATCTAATCTCCAACCTCAACAGACTTCAAGTCAGTAATAAGTAAACAGAAAAACTTTGACTCATGTTTAAAATATTTCACTTGCCTTGGCCTCCCAAAGTGTTGGGATTACAGGCGTGAGCCACCACGTCCGGGTGGATCACAAGGTCAGGAGTTCAAGACCAGCCTGGCCAAGATGGTGAAACCCTGTCTCCACTAAAAATACAAAAATTAGCCAGGCATGGTGGCAGGTGCCTGTAATCCCAGATTCTCGGGAGGCTGAGGCAGAGAATTACTTGAACCTGGAAGGCAGAGGTTGCAATGAGCCAAGATCATATGACTGCACTCCAGCCTGGGTGACAGAGCAAGTTTCAAAAAATAATAATAAATAATAAAATAAAATATTTCACTCATAAATTAATTGATTCAATAAATGTTTCATTCAAGTACGTACACATTAGTACATGGTTTCAATGATCCTTGATTTAAAACCTTGGAAATAGCTTTAATTCTATATTACATTTACATCGACATCCACTCAGGTATGAATATTCTGTAGAAAAGTTTTGGTTTTTCCCTTTCCATTCTTTTGTGAAATGTTTGTCTTCCTTGTCTGCTAACACTTTTTAATATGACAATTATCATTAATTATTCACAAAGTGAGTTAATATTTGCTACATATTTAATGTCTAATTTGTTTCACTATTTTAAACGTACTGTACCTGGCTTCTGAAAAGAATGCAAAGCCCTCAGAATCAAGTGCATAATATAATATCCTTATGGTTTTGCAGCCTACTATTCGTTCGGTACTCAATAACTAGCAATGAACAGCAAATGTAATTATATATATGTATATATATAGAGAGAACATTTATGTATATATAGAACATATATATGTATATATATAGAACACACACACACACACATATATATATATATATATGAAACATAAGAATTTATGTATAGCTAAGCTGAACATTTGGCTATCAGATAAAACTGTAGCTTTACAAATACTTAAGAACAGAAAAACTGAGATTGCTCCTAGATCTGGGGTGGCCAAAAGAAATGGAATCAGATGTTTTTGTTAATAGGTAATGCCCCAAATCTTATCAGTCATAAGCACTGGGCCAGACAGACCTGTGCTTAGATATTCTAATATGGTATACCTTTACTAGTACCTTGGTTAGAAAAAAAGATATCCCCTCTAGGTGGACAAATCAGAAAAACAGACCAGCTGTTAACAGGTCAAGCTTAAGAGCACATGGCTTGGTGATGGTGGCAGAGAAGGAATTTTAGACTCTCCGGCTCCCTCCACAAGGCACTATTGTGCAGCACACACATTGCACAACCTCACGGAGTAGTCTTGGCCTTAGCTGAGGGGATGAAAAGAACTGTTTAGTTAAGAAGTGAGATTTAGCAGCTTACATAAATCCTTAAGGTGTTTTACGCACTTTTTGTACATCAGTGCCTTACATTAATTAATCCATTTAATTCTACCTGCCATGAGTCTACCACACCCATTTTACTCATGTGGAAACCAAGGCACAGGGAGGTTAAATGGCTTGTCCAAGGTCACACAGCCTTTGAGTGGTAGATTCCGGATTCAAATACATGCAGCCTGATACTGAAACTTTGTTCGTGAACACTTTACTGCCTTTAAACTGATGAAATTAGAATAAATGGAAATTCCTGGGACTAACTATTAAAAAAGTGTAATAAGCTGTAAGAAGGAGGCATTATTAAGTAAAGGAACTCACTTTGGGAAATACCAGCTTAGAACTTAATAGGCTTATGATAGTATTTATAAACAATCAAAGGATCAAGTTGATAAGCCATTCTGTGACTTGTTGATAAATATCTTATCAGTTTTTGTACCCGGCTGAAATCCTTCCTCAAGAGATTAAATCACCAAAGGGGTTAACTCTTTGTTTTGTGTGCAATTTTTCCACTGCCAATAATTTTGTTCTCTGAGCAGTGAAACAAGTAATTCCCAAATTAAGAGCATGTTAGGACTATAGGTCCTCATTTTCCTAACTGCAAAGAAAATTATTTTAAAAGTAATTTTCCCCTCAGAAGCAATTCCAAGACTGAAGATTAAATATACAGAGAAGCAATGATTCAGGCTTTTAAAAAAATCGCTTTTTAAAGGAGTATAAGTGAAAACAGTTAAGTAAATATATTTAATTACCAAGATTTTATTGTATCTTTTACTCACATAAAAAGACTAAAATAAAACGTTTCTGGTTTTCACAGTAACTGATCTGATAATGTCAACTTTTGAAAACAGATAGTTATGACTCAAGGCTTTGAGAATGTAAAGAGACGCCCTTCACATGTTGAGAAATGGTACGATTTCACGTTATCAGTGCAGTTCGGTTCTCAGGGGGAAAGGTAAGCCCATAGCTAACTCCAGCTCCAAGCTGCTATTTCATGATAACAGCTCACGGAGCTGTGGGCCTGCTAAGCCTTTCCCACCTCGTTCTGGAATTCCTCTATAGCCCATCCGTACTACCAGGAGACTGGATCCGCAAAGTAGACACTTGGTCTCATGAAGCCACTGCTGGGCTCCAGAGAGAAGGAAAAACTAAGCGGTTTTAAAACCCCCACCCTCCTTGGTTTACCTCCATCATTAAAAAACAACAATGACAACGACAACAAAAAACAAAACTAAAACGACTTATTGTTTATTAATTATGTTGTGGCAGACAATATGCTGAACATTAGGCATAATTAAATTCTTTTTAAAAATTGATAATTTATCTCTGTTTTATAGAAGTGTGAAACTGTCAGGAAGACAGATGAAATGATTTGCCTGAGGCCGTATCATCAAACAAGAAATTCATATTCACCTTTCTGGAATTCTTAGGATAATGATTACATGTGTTCAATTGTTAAAAATTGGCAGATAAAATTTTATGTATTTACCACGTACAACATGAAATTTTGAAACATGTATACATTCTGGAATGACTAAATCCAGCTAATTAACATAGGTATTGTCTCACATATTTACTTTTGTGGTGAGAACAGTTAATATCCACTCTCAACATTTTCCAAGAATACAATATATTACTAACTATAGTCACCATGTTGTAAAACGGATCTCTTCAAGTATTCCTCCTATATAATTGAAATTTTGTATCCTTGGACCAACGTCTCCTCACCCTACTCACTCCTCAAATATCCCTACCCTTGGAAACCACTGTTCTCCTCTCTCTACTTCTAGGATATCAGCTTTCAAGAGTGAGATCTTGTGGCATTTGTCTCTCTGTTCCTAGCTTATTTCACTTAACATAACGTCCTCTAGGTTCATCCATGTGCAACCCCCTAGGTTCATGTCCTTTTTTAAGGTTTAATAGTTTTCTGTTGTGTACATATGCCACAATTTATTTACCCATCCACTTCTTGATGGATGCTTCAATTGTTTCTGTACTTGAGCTATTGAGGACGATGCTCCAGTGAACATTGGAGCACCGATATTTTTACAGGGTGGTGATTTATTTTTCTCTGGATATATATACCCAGAAGAGAAAGTGCTGGGTCATACGATAGTTCTTTTCTTTTCGTTTTTTTCTTTTCTTTTCTTTTTTTTTTTTTCAGAAACCTCCATACTGTTTTCCACAGTGGCTGCACCAATCTATATTCCCAAATTAAACTTCAATGTGCAGATGAATTACCTAAAATTCTTTATAAATTGCAAATGCTGGTTTAGAAGGTGTGCTGATTTTGATGCATTTTTAAGACCCCCCTCCCATCCCGTGTGATGTTCCTACTCCACTCACTGATTTCCCATGTATTATCTAGGGTCTTAACCACATTGCTTGTTTTTCTATTAGAGTTTGGAACTGGGTCACCCATGCTCTGAGGCTCTATGAAACCCTGAAGGGAGAGGTAAACATATAAGCTCTGCAATCCAACTGCTTGGTTTTGTATTTTGGATTTGAAACTTAGTAACCATTTTCACCCAGAGGAAATTCCTTAAGCTCTGTAAGCCTCAGTTTCTTTATCTGTAAAGTGGGAGTTACAGTAGTATTATCTCTCACTGTATTTTTAAAGACCAAATGAGAAACTTGATGTAAATAGGAACCTAATGCCTGGTACATAGTGAAAGTTCAATATATACATTCATGAGTATTTTTAAGTAAAACATGTTCATTGCAACATTATTCACAGGGGCCAAGATATGAAATCAACCTAAATGTCTGCCAACAGATGACTGGATAAAGAAAAGATTATATATATATACATATATGTGTGTGTGTGTATATATATATATATACACACACACACACCCACACACAAACATATATATGTATATATCTGTGTATATGTGTATATATACACACATACATGCACAGATATATATGTATATATGTATATATGTATTACAGGCGTGAGCCATCTCGTCTGGCCAATTATCATTATTATTTTAGAAATTTATCAGTGATGCTTTTCTGTTCAGCTTTAATGAGGTGTAATGACAAAAAAATTGAATATATTTATGTATGCTGTACACTGTGATGTTTTGATATATGTATATATTATGAAATGATTACCACAATCAAGCTAGTTAACATATACATCACCTCTCGTAATTATCTCTTTGTGTAGTGAGAACATTTAAGACCTACTCTCTAAGCTGATTTCAATTATACAATATAGTATTACTAACTATAGTCACCATGCTCTACGTTAGGTCCCCAGAAATTACTTTTTCTGCATAATTGAAAATTTCTATCCCTTGACCAACATCTCTCCATTTCCCCAACCCCAGTTTACACACACACACACACATACATATACATATATAGTGTATATATACACATATACATATATACATATGTGTATATATATATGTGTACATATATATGTGTATATATACACTATATATGTATATGTGTAAAATTAGATGGGTGTGGTGGTGCCTGCCTGCAATCCCAGCTACTC
This sequence comes from Homo sapiens, assembly GCF_000001405.40. Classification (NCBI taxonomy): domain Eukaryota; kingdom Metazoa; phylum Chordata; class Mammalia; order Primates; family Hominidae; genus Homo; species Homo sapiens. Next base: position 1,875,136 of record NW_025791777.1, read on the forward strand.
AGGAGGCTGAGGCAGGAGAATCGCTTGAACCCGGGAGGCAGAGGTTGCAGTGTGCCGAGATCATGCCACTGCGCTCCAGCCTGGGCGACAGAGCAAGACTCCATCTCAAAAATAATAATAATAATATCAAAAATAAAATAAAAATTGCTTAGAAATTTCAAAATACAATACCTTCCACTGAACTTCCTTAATCCACATAGCACTGTATTTTTCTGTCTATTGCATTGCCACAAATTTAGCCACTTAACACAGATTTATTATTGCACAATTTCTGTTGGTCGGGAGCCTGCCACATTTTGGCCAAGTCCTCTTCTCAGGGTCTCATAAGGCTGTCAGGGTGCTGGCCAACTGCATCGTCATCTGGAGGCCTGACTACAAAAAGATCGGCTCAAAGGCCCCTCAGAGTGTTGGCAGCATTTGTTTCCTTGTGGTTGTAAGATTGAGGTCCCTCTTGCCTCACTATCTGTCAGCTGGGAGTGACCTCACCTCCTCCAGGCTGCTATCAGGTTATGCCACAGGCCCCTTCCGTTTCTGTAATAAAGAACTGCCCTCATATTGAATCCATATCACACCTCAGATTTATCTGATTTCCCTTCTGCTTTCAACTAGACAAACTCTCTGCTTATAGAAAGGCTCATGTGATTAAATTGTGCTCTATTTTAAGGTCAAGTGTGCTATGTAACATGACCAAATAATGAGAGTAAAATCTATTATAGTGACATGCCCTGGAATTATGTAGAAGCGAAACTATTGCTGGAGGGGTAATCTTTGGGGCCAACTTAGACTATTGATTATTCCATGTTCAAGGAGAGCTGGCATATAATTGGAGAGCTAAGAACCGTCAATATCTCAACATCTAAAAAAATAAAAATTGTAATTGTATTTAAAATGTTAGGAAACATAGTTAGAAATTTAGGGTTTTAAGCAGATATAAAGATCTTTTAATCATGCTACCACCTAATTACAATATTAGATAAAGAAGAACAATTAAGCCTAGTCTATATGTTAGAGAAATATAGTAATTTTTTCTGGAATGATTTATTATGTGCAGACTTTGGGTTATTGGAATAGATCATTGACCATATATGTTTTAAAGTACTTAAAAATATTTTATAAATAAAGTTATTTTTATACAGAACAGAAATAGTTGATATTGAATCAGAAATACTGTATTAGCATAAGTCATATGTTTAAGGAAATATATTCCTAAACAATAGGAAGAAACACAGGCAACACTGATGTAAAAAAGATTTACAGACATGAGCTGCATGCACTTGGTTTATGGACTAGAATTCTATGCCTTCTAGAAGCAGAAAATATGCAACGACTCATTCTGCCTTATGGCCATTTCAGAGCTTTTAATCTAATAAAACCTATATGTCAGCCAGTAGCATGTCAGGGTCTTATTACTCTGCTTCCTTAGAGTCTGATATGGGAGGTTAAGTCCCTGCACATATGTACCCCTTGGGGTTCCCTGAGGTGGAGCCGTGCAGGTTTGCTTCTTTGCTTACTGATATATATAAAAAAGATAACATTAAATATTCTATTCCTGTTTCACTTATGCGTTCACTAAGAATGATGAAAGTGGGAACTGTGTGGCATGGCCTAGGAATTGTGCATGAGCACACTCTATTTTACATGTCTCATCAGAAGTCAGTTTCTAACCTTCTTCTGTCTGTAGACAAGCATATCACCTAAGCTTTCTCAGAGATTAAAGGTATACCACCTAGCTTAAATGGCCCTACTAATGAAAGAGAGGTACACTTAAATTGCATCTTAATGAGAAAAAATATGAAAAGGAGAATTAATAGAGATTTCTCAAATAAAATCTAATGAGCATAATTTTTATTATTGAACAATGTTTGCCTATAAAGTCTTACTCAACTTGATGAAAAAATGCTAAGATACATGTTAAGGAGTCCTCATTTTAATACTTTATAAAATTGTATATACATATACTTAAGAAAGAAAAATAATGGCATATTTGCTGTCTTTAAATCATTGAGAAAAAAATAAAAGACTACATGTGTCATTTAATTTAGCTAAAGAAGGAAGGTGACTGAAAAATACAGTTTTTACATAAGATACTAAGTAGCTGGCTGGGTTTTGCTAATGTTCCCAAATTTGAAATCATTTTAAAAAGAACACTCCAATGAGCACCAGAGAACTGAGATGTTTTAAAATAAAATTATAACTGCACTTAATCTCACATTGTCTCCTTAGCCTTTTGACATTTTAATTGCTGTGCCATTTTTCACTGAGATGGCAAGCATTTTTTACATATGCATAATGTAGCCTGTGTTAATGCATATTGATTAAAGTAGACAGTGATGCGAGGATGTTGGAATTTTACCCACTGTGACCCTATTGAATGTTTCTCTCTGCTCTTTTTGTTTTCTTTATAACCAGAGGGGGAAGAAAAGCATGTATTTTCCAACAAGTCTCTATGCTATCTGAACTCTAGTATTAACAGGTGAAAAGTGACATGTTTAACAAAAGAAAGACTAGAAAGCATCTACATCACAAACTTGTAAGTCTTTCATTTCTGCATTGGAGACACTATAGGAAAATCAATAACTTCCTTTGAGTCTAGTGATCTAGCTGCTTACAAGAAATTTACATCTCCCTGACAGGCAGTTTGTAAGGTCTGGTTCACCTGGGTCACAGGAGTACACATAATTTGCATCTTGAGCAATTTCTCTCTTTCCTTCTACCTGTTCCATGAGGAAAGAAGATTGAACCTGGTCATAAAGAGAATCTCATTACGTCTCAGCTGAGAAGAGTAATTTTGTAGGTGTTCTTGGATTGCAAGAGTATCATATAATGATAATATTTTCTCATAGCTCTTCAGACCTATGCACACACCAGGAAATGAAAGTAACATACACCCAGGCACATTTGAAGCTTCTGAGCTGTCATTCACCAAATGAAATTTAAGTGTTCCATCAAAGTCATTTGCAAATATGACCTCAAGATGGATATCCAGATTCTTTGCTAACAAAAATATACAAGAAGATAGACATTTAGCTTACCTCTCATAAAATCTGAAAAAAAAATTCCCCTTCTATTTTATTTTGCCCTTCAAAATACACAAGATCTGAATGTCAAATAAATGTTTATATTATGATATGCTAATAATGCCTGGCATATATTTTCCTAGTTAGTTCTGTAAGCTCAGTTAAAAACAAATAAAAACCAAGGAGGCAATGCTGAAAACTTTTTGAATCAAAAATAGAATGCAATAGCATTTAATTATAATTAAGTCTTTAATATGCTTATTTAAATCTCACATACTTTTAAGCATGGGTCTATTTGCAAATTCATCTAAATAAATATTTGGCACGAAGTCTAAATCCACTTTATTCCAATGTTTTTTTTTCCGGGATAAAGATTATAATGAGATTCAAATGTAATAATTTTCATCCTGTATTCATGAAAATAATTGTCTAGGTGTAAATGAACGTATTATTACAATTCACTATGTGTACTCATACCTAGTCGTGAGGTCCTCATATATAAAATAGAGGGAGAGTACAACTTTAAAGTGTTTTATATATCCATTTCATATTTTTTCTCTTTGCAATTTGGGATGAATCTCCTTAGACAAATGGTTATGTTATTAACGCACCAACATTAACCTAGAAAAGGCTACTTAGTACTACTTAACTTGAATACTAATCACCCTGGCCTCAGTAGCCCACCATATCTTGCAAAGTATTCTGAAATAGTATTGGTGATAAACACCATTTGGAAAGGAAAAATGGCTGTATCTGTGTTTTTACATGCACACTCCCCTCATTATTTTTGCATATGATAAAATAGATAATATTTACTGAGCACTTATCACAAGTCAGTTGTCTTGTTAAGTGATGCAGAAGCATTTTCTATTAGTCCCCAGAAAACCACTGGGAGGTTGGTACAACACAGCTCCATTTTATCGAAGGATCCATTCATGAAGACCTTGTACTCACAAAATGAAAGATTAATTTCCCGCAGGAGCAAATAAAAAGCTGAATGGGGGTGTTCTTTAGAAATATCACGGTGGTAATTCAGCTTGATTTAGAATGAATTTCTAAACCTATCTCTGCTGCACTGTATTTGGTGGCTTGCTTCCCAATATTAGCCGTGTACACCTTACTTTTATATCATTATGACAGAATACACTTTTTCTTTGCATGATGACAATACATGTTTAAATAAAAGTCTATGCATCAGCAAAAGCACTCACAGGTGTTCTGATCCACTTGAACACCTGCTTGATTTACAATATGTTGACAAATTAGCTCAGGTCATCATTTATATTATCTAATGTACTAGTGCTACATACAAATAATAAAAACAAGAATTATAATGGTGTCCCTTCAGCTTTGAAATTCTGTGACTCTTCATAATAGCTTTGCATTATTTTAAAATTAGCATATAAAATAAAACTTCATTATTTAAAAATTTGAGCACAGTTAAATTGTTGGCATCGGTTCCTCTATGTTTTTGAATATACAGGTTCCTGAAAAGGTCCATAGTTTTAGCAGAGCAGACTTTACAGCAGTGGTGAATTTTGAGGGAGAAAACAGATGAGGACTGTCAATGTGCAAAACAAAGACCTAGTAAAAAATCAGCAGAAGAGAAAGAAACTATCAATGCACACCACTCAACAGCAAGGACAAAAGAGAGACAGGACAAGAGAGGATCTGTTGACAATGGTACACAAAGAAGGAAATAGAAAGAAAATACTGATTTTCAACTCTGGTTTAATATGGTGACTTCTTATCCAACTGCCTTAATGTTGAAAATGAATAGTTTTCTCCAAATTTCTTAAGATCATGAGGATATGCCTACACATTTTCATTAGAAAATGGTGCATGGGTAAAATTTTCTTTAATGTTTTGTAGTGTGGTAGCATGTTTTTCTGCCAGGTATATTAATAAAACCATATTATATTGCGTCTTTTCTGATCTATAATTATAGCTTACATGGTTCAGATGAATTTCCTCTCTGGCAGCTCTCTGACTTAATCGCTGCTGGTAAACACTATCACTCATTTTTTACCCACCAAATAAAATTTTTCATCTTGACGCATTTTGTCTGCATTGCACATATTTAAATACTCAACAACTACCACAGCAAAAACTCACTTCGGTGTTTACCTTGTAGACAAATGGCTTATCTATTTAGCTTAAATTCATAAACTTTGTTACAGCGTTATCAACTGGATGAGTTTAAATATACTGGAATCAGGTTTACCATGACATAATTTAGATAGTTTAATAGTTCATTAACAAGATATTAACAAGATCAAAATTATTACTCCTTACTGAAAAAGGCAGCTCTATATACAAGGACATAGTCAAGACAGTAGCAAAAAGGGTCTGTGTGTGTGCGCGCGTGCATGTACATGTGTGTGCCTGCGTGTGTATGATTCTTTAAGGTAATGTTAGAGACAACAAACGGTAATAGACGGAGTAAAAATAAAATATGTACCAGGCCAATGAAAGTTAGAAAAACTTCACCTATCTATTGCAATATACGTTGCTCTTCTGTTCTGGCTCAAACAGGTATGTGTTCCAGAAAGTTGCAAAACTCCTCAAAGACTCTTCAGTTCAATAGGGTATCCATCATCGGACCCATACAGTTGAGACTGAAAATAGATTCAGTCTGGCAGAAAAATGTCCACAGAAGGCTTTTCTCTTTTTTTTTTCTTTTTAGAGAAAAACAAGATAAAGCAAAACAAAATAAATTATTAACATGCTGCTTTGGATATGTTAGATGTGTTTCCCAAGGGACACTGTGGTATCTTCGTGGCTGGATATTTTCAGAACATCTCAGTGTATTTTCTTATTTACTGCCCTTGGTTCTCCTAGACTTTTGAACATTGAGTAGTCACATGAACGTTGTTTAGCAAAAGGAGGTGAACCAAGTAAATCATTCTCTGAGATAAAGAAGTCCATGGGAATTGGCCTTACCTCACAGAAACAAACCAAAATGAATTGTAATATTAATCTTAGTGCATTCAGGCTGCTATAACTAAAATAGCATATACTGGATAGCTTATAAACAACATAAATTTATATTTAACAGTTCTAGAGGCTGGGTAGTTTAAGATCAGGGTGCTGGCTGATTTAGTGTCCGGTGAGGGCCCCTTTCCTGCTTCGTAGGTCACACCTTTTGGCTGTGTCCTGTGTTCTCACATGGTGAAAGGGACCAAGGAGCTCAACTCCCTTGGGCCTATATTATAAGGGCACTAATCCTATTTATGAATGCTCCACCCTCATGACTAATCAGCTCCTAAAAGACCCTACCTCCAAATACCATCACCACAGGGGTTAGTTTTCAACATACAAGTTTGGGGGAAAAGCAAACATTTAGATCATGGCAATATTCAATATCAGAAGCAGAAGATGATTCATGCTAGAGGGTCCTCGACAACTGTGTTTGGGAAAGTCATGCATGGCTCTGCACGGAGTCTCTGCCTGGCCCTCATTTAACACTCATGACCCTTGGAATGCACACGCTCTGTGACCTTGCCCAAATCCTGAAGCTTTCATTCCATAATTTAAGGGGAAGATATAAAAGTGTATAGAATTCAGCTGTCATAGAAGCTTCACTATTCTCATCCTCTCTCTTCTCATTTCTTATATCTTAACTATGATTGCTAACCCCAGTGAGCTCTTTGTCAACACTATGTTATGGAGTTCCCCTAAACCTTTTTGTTTCACCTCTCCTCTTCGGTCCTGTGTTCTGAAAATTAAAGATAAAAATTTTAGATGATTTAAGAATCCTTATGAAAAAATGAGCTAACTCTGGAAATTTAAAATACTAAAACACTTAAAAGAGAATATCATATTGCAAGAATAATCAGAAACAACCTAAAGAAAAATATCTGGCTGGGCATGTTAGCTCACACCTGTAATCCCAGCACTTTGGAGGCTGTAATGGGAGGATCACTCAAGCTCAGGAGTTCGAGACCTGCTTGGACAACATAGCAAGACCCTGTCTGTATCATAATAATAATAATAATAATAATAATAATAAATTGCCAGACATGGTTGCACGTGCATGTAAGAGGCGGAGGTGGGAAGACTGGATGAGCTCAGGAGTTCAAGATTGCAGCAAGCTATAATTGTGCCATTGAATTCCAGCCTGGATGACAGAACGAGAACCTCTCAAAAGGAAGGAAGGAAAGAAGGAAAAAAGATGGGGAAGGAAGAAGAGAGAGAGGGAGGGGGGAAAAGAAAAAAATCCAAACACCTCAAGTGTGGTTAACTGCAGTTGGGAATTCACTTTATATTTGAGCTTTCTGAAATCTGAGATACTAGAGAAATATATATTTAAAAAATAACATGCATAATAACTTTATTACATTTATTTGTAAAGACTCATATGTTTATTATAGAATGGGGGATTAATCTTTCATTAAACTGGTCTTGTCGAAGTCACTACAACATTCAGTTCCCAGCAATGTCTGTATAATGACTTCTTATCAGTTTATGTTGCTTCAGCATCCATTTTGAATACTAGTATTGCTTTCTCATACTAGAAGCAGGGCTCAGTCACCCTTTACACAGTTTTTCATCCTACAGCATACCCAAAGGGCTGAAACTGGTGGTCATATATAAAAATTTAGAGGCATCTCTTCTGCCTAGCAGACTGAACACTGCTTTCTTGCCCCTTTCTTTAAAGGGACCATTCAGTCATTTGCTCTGAACTTTGAAGGCCCACACCCTAATCTTTATACAGTGTGCTAGTTGCCACCCGTTTCTCTCTCTTTGTCTGACTCTTCATTTCTGCCTGCCATGACTCCAGGATAAAGAACTGCCCTCCAGACTCATTATACCCTCCCACACACCCTTACTTGGATCCTGGAGTCTGCAAGGAAAAGTCCTTGAACTTGTTCCTTATTTTGGTGTTACATTAAATTTGCACTTTCCATCTGAAGAATCAGGAGCTGCCTCAGGTTGGGTTTTCCCTGGAACACTGGGGAGAATAAAAGGTCAAGCTCCCAATGCCAAAGTGTTGACCAGGCAGGCATAAACCAGACACAGGTCAGACAAGAATCACAGGTGGCTTGCCAGTGTAAGTTTTCCCTGGTCGCAGGTATGATGTGTTTATTTTTAAAAATAACATCATGCATATATTAAGTTTATTTGTAATAAACTTACAAATAAAGTTTGTATACACCCACATCCAACTCCTCATCATTTGCCCTTAGTGCAGGTTTGTCAGCTGCTCTAGTACTGGACCCATAATTTAGCTGGGGCTCCGACATCATGGAATATTTTATTTTCCCTTACCTAGCTCTCAATACACCCTATAATGCAGGCTATTCCTCCGCAGTCTCTTTTGTTGGTTCTTCCTCTTCCCTCTGACTTTTTTTTTTTTTTGAGACAGAGTCTCGCTCTTTCGCCCAGGCAGGACTGCAGTGGCGCGATCTCTGCTCACTGCAAGCTCCGCCTCCCGGGTTCATGCCATTCTCCTGCCTCAGCCTCCTGAGTAGCTGGGACTACAGGCGCCCCCCACCGCTCCCGGCTAATTTTTTGTATTTTTAGTAGAGACGGGGTTTCACCATCTCCATCTCCTGACCTCGTGATCCGCCCACCTCGGCCTCTCGAAGTGCTGGGATTACAGGCGTGAGCCACCGCGCCCGGCCCCCCCTGACGTTTTAATGTTGCATCTCAAGGTTCAGTCTTCGGCCCTCGTTTATCCTGTTTATATACATTTGGTTGGACTTCTCGTCCAATGTCAGGACTTTCGATATCCTCAATATGATGACAACTTCCAAATACATATTTCCAGCCCAGACTCCCTCCATTCCTGTATATTGCATGGACATAACACAAAGAATCATGTATCAATATTTACCACTTGGATGTCTAAAATGCATCTCAAACTTGGCATGCACAAAACTGCACCTTCAATCCATGAACTCACACACACCCATCTATTTGTAGTCTTACCCACTTCAGTTGACATTCACAACCATTCAGACCAAAATTTTTTAAGTTGTTCTTGAATTTTCTTTTTATTTTACATGCTACACCCATGCCATGGGTAGAATACTGCCCCAAATATTCATAATTTGAACATTTCCACCATCTTTGTTAGAATTATCCTGACATGAGACACCATTGTCTCTTGCCTGAAGTATTGCCATTTGTAACAACACCCAGGATCACACTGTCAATGAGATTCCCAAGAATTAGAAATTTGATCCAGTACTGAGCTTATTAATAATTTCAAGGGTACATATAAATGCATAATACAGGTGAAGCAGGAAGAATTCCATGACAACCAGTATGACTCCCTAGGTCATTTTTTCATCTCACCGTTATGTCTTTCAAGTAATAGATGAGACTTCTAATAAAGTACATGGTCACCTCACTTACAAAGAAAAAGCCATTTAGATTATAGAACATCACAATTTCATACTCATATAGTTACATAATTCACATTATGTTAATCAGGAAGTATGTCCCATGAATCTGTAGATTCCAGGTTTATTTACCAGAAGCAATTACAGAAGAAGCAAGTACATCCTGCCCAAAACTTTTCATAGTAATCTCCTCCTAGTGTTACCAGGGGTCCTTGCTCCCAGAGCTCCCAAGATGGTGGTGGGCCACTTCCAAAATGGCGGCAGGCCACTTCCAAGATGGTGGCAAGCCTCATGTTCTCTGACTTGGGGTTCTTGGCCTCAAGATTCCAAGGAATGGAATCTTGGGCCATGCAGTGAGTGTTATAGCTCTATTAGAAGTCGTGGGTCACAGAAGAGAACTGTGGAACCCAGTGACTAGTGTTCAGCTCAATTAGGACGAACCCAAGCACTTAGCTGTGCAGGAACAATGGCAAGACTTTAACCCGATGGGGAGCGACAGTGGGCGCCTCGCTGAATCAGGAGCACAGCAGGCACCCTGCTGGATCCTGAGGGATGGAAGTCAGCGGAGGGTCCCTAACGGCGGCAAAACAGCAGTGGTGGACAGCGAGTGAAAGCTCAGCTCAAGCCGTAACAAACACGGACCAGAAGAGTGCAGTTGCAAGATTTAATAGAGTGAAATAGAGTGAAAACAGAGCTCCTATACAAGGAGGGGACCCCAAGGGGGTTGCCTTTGCCTGCTCAAATGCCTGGGTTTATATCCCGATCCTTGTCCCTCCCACTGTGCTCTCAGGCAATAGATGATTGGCTATTTCTTTACCTCCTGTTTTTGCCAAATTAGCATTTAGTGAGCTCTCTGATTGGACAGCTGTGAGCTCAGTTGCAAGCCCCGTGTTTAAAGGTGGATGTGGTCACCTTCCCAGCTAGGCTTAGGGATTCTTAGTCAGCCTAGGAAATCCAGCTAGTCTTGTCTCTCACTAGCACAAACCATGTAGTTTAATTGCCAGGAGGTCTGTCATTAAACATGACAATGTTTAATAGGAGATTAGACTTCTCACTGAATGTGTTTGTTTCCCAGGAGCACTGCCTTGCGAAAGGGAATTAATTCATCATTTCATCGCAGACCTGCTGTGTAAACATTTTCATCTCACCGCATAACAATGTCTCTGCTTTCACTTTGGCCCCGACATTCTATTCTGAACACAGCAGCCAAAGGGGCTGGTTAAAATGTTGGTCTGATCATGTCATTCCTTTGCTCATCACCGTGCAACTAATCCACATTTCATTCAGGCTAAGAGTCAAACTCCTGACAATGGCCCCGAAAGCCCCACGTGATCAGTTCTTGTTACTTCTCTGAGTTCATCCTCTGTTAATCTCCCTTCACTTTCTCCATGACAGGCACACTAGCCTCGTAGATGTTCTGTGGATTTGTTAGGTGTGTTCCTGCTGTGCTTTTCATAGATACACACAGTGACAATTCCTTTACCTCTTCTAAATCTTTTCTGAACTCTTACTTTTTCAATGGGTGAATGTTTGATGACCCTATTTAAAATTGCAAATATCCAGCCTCCCAACACACATACACATACACATACACATACACATACACATACACACACACGCACACACACACACACGCACACACACACACACATTCCAAGCATTTGTGGTCAACACTCTGTGTTTCACTTGTTTTTTCCTTATGTCAGAGGCCTTTGAACCACAGCAACTCCATCTTGAGTAGGGGCTGGGTAAAATAAGGCCGAGACCTACTGGGCTGCATCCCCAGATAGTTAGGCATTCTAAGTCACAGGATGAGATAGGAGGTCAGCACAAGATACAGGTCATAAAGACCTTGCTGATAAAACAGACTGCAGTAAAGAAGTCAGCCAAAACCCACCAAAACCAAGATGGCGAGGAGAGTGACCTCTGGTTGTCCTCACTGCTACACTTCCACCAGCACCAGGACAGTTTACAAATGCCATGGCAAGATCAGGAAGTTACCCTATATGGTCTGTAAAGGGGAGGCATGAATAATCTGAATAATCTACCCCTTGTTTAGTATATAATCAAGAAAATAATATAAAAACAAGCAACCATCAGCCCTCAGGGCTGCTCTACTTATGGAGTAGCCATTCTTTTATTCCTTTACTTTCTTAGTAAACTTGCTTTCACTTTACTCTGTGGACTCACCACGAATTCTTTCTTGTGTGAAATCCAAGAACCCTCTGTTGGGGTCTGGATCAGGGCCCCTTTTCAGTAACACTTATCAATTATCACTTTTTTAAAAAAAATACATAATGGCTAGTTCCTATCTTACACTGTTAGAATGCAAGTTTCAGATATGCAAGGATATTTATCTCTCTTGTTCGTTGATGTATCCCAAATCCCTGGAAGAGGACCTAGTTAGATAGTAGCTTCTAAGTATTTTTTAATGAATATCTGACTGCACTGGGAATTATATAGCTGTTCATTTATATTGGACATCTGGTCATCCCTTGAATAGAAGTCAATGGGTTTTTTTGCTTATGCCCATACCATATTGTCTGGTAGTTGATTAAGATGATTTTCCCTAGAATATATTTCTCTTAAAAATATTTTCTCCTTCTAAATTACCAGCAACCAAATTAAGATGCTTCAAGTATTTTGCTAAAAAGATTTTAAAAGTAGGTCAATTAGAATAAATCCAAAGAATAGCATTTTTACTATCATGCACTGCCAATTTCTTATATGGCACAAGTTTGCCAAATTATGCAAAAATATGTACACATGCTTTTAAAATATTTTGACAGATTAAAAACTACATAGTAAAACAACTGTAAAATGATTACCAAGAAAAGCTTCATTTCATAAAAATGCTGTTTCTCTAATATATCAAATTTGAGATACACTGTTAATTCAATGCTCATAATTGAAAAAATTCTTACTTTTAGAAATGATCGCTCCCTAGCGAGAAAGAATATATCTTACATTTTTTTAAAAAAAGCAAAAAATGATGGCAAAAGTCAATTTGAACCCAGTTGAAGTAATCATTTAACTGATAAGTAATACTCTGTAAATATCTGTTTCTTCAGTTTCAGAAGAAACTTCAGTTGTTGATCTTCAATTCCTATGTTTTATATGAAAATATTTTGAAAAGAAAATAAGTGTTTTCCAACTGAGCATAATAAAGGAGGCTAAACATGATTATTCACACTTTGCAGTAATATACCTTTGACAGGCATGAAACATACATATGGATGAGAAAAGAGAGACCTCAATTTGTTTAGATTAGACCCATTTCAATCAGCAGGAGAAAACACATGTAAGAATGGATGTGGTTTGTGAAACACTGTGTTAGAATCTCTCTGTTTATATTCTGAAGGATGCTAGTCATGTGAATGATTTTAAGCAGCAGAATATATAAATGCCAATCAAGTAAATCACTCACGAAGAGCCAAAGCATCGCTGAAAGAAAGATACCCCAGGGAATTGGAATGACCTTACGCTGCCAAACCAAAGCAGATTGAAAAGTTTAATGCCATGGACAGATTTTGACAGTGGTAATGGTATTGGTGTCCTTGGCTCGTTCCTACTCTGGGGAGTTATAACTTTAAAAGCTTTGATTTTTGTTTATCATGACAAGTTCTTCAAATATATAGCTCTTTGGACTCAATGGCTCTGCCATGCCCCATTTCTCTTCTGTAGGCCTGGAATCAACTATGAGAAAAGAAAGCATAGCCATATATATTTTTCAAAGACATAATTTAAAACTATAATTCTACTTTGATACTTACAGATACTATAAATTTATAGTGCTATAAATAGTTAATAACATCATGATGAGTATTAAATACTCTTATTTTACATAGATTTGGCTATTTTCTTTTACGATGTATTATGTCTGTGACTCCCTTAGGTCTGCTTTGTTCATGACATTAAAGTTAAGCTTTGAAAATCCATATTCCATTTCTAATAGCTTTCCTCTGGCACATGAGTACACCTGATCTAAAGGGTGACATCATCCTTTACTTTCTCAATCATCTTGATTTTCCTCAAACTCTGGTCAAAACACCACCATTAGATGGACACATTTTCCATCATTTTTATAAGGTTCTTTTTCCTCTCAATACATGTAACTGCCACATATAGCAACCGAAGGATGATAAGAGAATTTTCATGGCACCCAAGGTGAGAAGCTGAGGATTGTCAGAGAAAGGTGGAGTGTTTATTTTTCTTTCTTTTCTCTTTTGATTCACTGTAGTTCTGTACCAATATCATCTTTGTCCTAGCTGAGCATGCCTCCTGACTTTGTGGAATAATGTGCTATATGTTCATGTGCATAAAGATAATATGTATATTTATAGTATGCATTAATTTGAATGAATCGAAATTAAAATTATGTGACTTTTTTCTCTCATGTCCCCTCTTCCGTTATTACACTACTAGTCCTCTCTAAACCCACTGACACTGTCCATTGTTCTGAATTTGATTCCAGAGTTAGAGCTCAATTCTCTGCCTAATATAGTATTTTCTGTTTACATAGTGATTGCTCATATATTTTGCTCTTGTCAGAAATCTTTGACGGACTTATGCTGCATAAAAGTGCTGAAGGAAGAAGTCATTTAATTTTAAAATAATTTGTTTACTATGCATTAGAGTCTAACAAAGACAGATGGATACACATTTATGGTAATAATGCTTATTTCTCTCATTTCCTTCTCATTGTATTAAAACTAAGAGCAAATAAGCACAATTCGGCTTCTGTTTGTGTGATTTTTACTTTTCAAGTTCTTTCCATCCTGACTCTCCTTGCAGCTTTCACATATGGACACATATTATTTGTGTTGAACATGATTCAAATACTGTTTTGAGTTATGTTGTACAATGTCTGATATATGTCATATATAAAAATAAAGGGTCTAATATATTCCTTCAAAGAATAATCAAGGTAAGTAATGTGCGCATGGGGCACACACTGTTCAAATAAATACTACAAAGAGACAGCAGTCTTTGCTGTGAGGCACACATCTTCCCTAGTGACCTCCCCTTGACAATAACTACGCTCCACTAAGGATGAATAAGGATCATTTCTTTTTCTCTCAGATGAGAAAACAGTACAACTACACTAGATGCATTTATCTTTTGTCTTTGCAACTGTCTTTCTGCTTCTTTGTCCATCCAATCTCTGTTTCTCTAGTCTAATTCAGACCTGCTCATTTCCCTCTCCTCCTGTCCATGTCTGTCTTCCTGTCTCCCTCTCTCTCTGCCTTTCTGTCCTATTTTTGCCTCTCAATTTCTCTCTACTTTTGTTTTCTTTTGGTTTGTCTTTCTGTCTTTTTTTTCACTTTATCCTCTTCTACTCATATTTATATATGCATATAAAGAGATACAGAATTTACACTTTATAAGTTGAACTCATTTCTGTTCTGCTCTCTTGCATAGTAAAATATCAATCACACTAACCTGCTTACTGAGCCGAAGTTCTTCCTTACAGTTGAGAAACCTTCTATGCGTCTAAAAATGAACAGTCGTATCCATAACAGTGACAGCATGCATTTGATTTGCATAGTGCCTTTTCAGTCAAACTGTTATGCAGCCTAGTTAGACCTCTGACTTTGAGGATGCAGACAGAATTGTTTAACACAATGACCTTGACGAGCCTCACAGTAAAGTCTCATTCTGAGAAAATCACACTTGAAAGATAAAATAATTTACACCTAGCATTCTAGAGTATAATTACACCCATGATAGACATTACTTTTCAGGGCTGAATCTATGGCTACATTTTATAATGCAAGGGGAAAGAGAGAGATAGAAATGATTGTTTGTTGAGTGCATATCACTGACTAAGCACAATGCTAATTGATATATAATATCTCATTGTATTCTCTATGTCACATGCTTATCCTTCTGAGTTACCTCTGTTTTATACACGAGAAAACCAGAGTTCTAAAATAGTACATTAACTTGTTTAAGGTCACAGATTTAGGAAGTGGTATTTTTGAGATTCCATCCTGAGCCATGTGTACTGAAAATATAGGTTCTATACTTGTTAATATATGTCTTCCATATGTTCCTATGAGGGTCCTATTTCTTAAAGTTATATAACTTTACTGCTTATTTAAAATATGCCTAATTGAAATAAACCACTACAATTTTATTTGCCATTACAATCTTTGGATTAATTTTCCAAAAAGCTGACACCTAGCAAATTGTGAAAGGGTGAAATGTGTAGTTGAATAACACACCTACAAAGGCAGAAAGCTGAATGTCCCTCAGAATAGTAGAAACAATTACTGGGGCTGTGGAGGGGGAATGATAATAGCCAGACCTGCTTCTCTTGAATACATTTTATTGAAGATATCAATATTCAAAGGCAAAAGATAATAATAATGATCAAAAACTTTAAGTTGTTCTGATTTTCTCGATGTATTTTCTAGGTGTGTTAGTTTGAGGGAATTGAATGTATTGAATAATTCAATTGACTTTTCACATTTCACATACTAACATTTCCTGAATACTTTTAAGGCAATTGTACTTCTTTGACATTTTTAAGGCTAACAACAATCCTAAATTGTAGATATAATTTACTGTAGTTAAATAAATGATTACCTGAAGCTGGGAGGGTTTGTTTTACGTTCACTTAGAGAAATGGCAATTCAAATGATGAGTTAACTTATATATAAGCTTCTTATATATAACTTATATATAAGCTTCTTTTTTAAATTTTCAAACTCAGTGCTTTCCTCTAATTATCGTTCTTCCCAGTCTACTTCTGAACTCACTTTTCTATGTCAAAGTAATATGTCTCAGTTAACATTGTACAATCTAACCTCTGGCAGCAGAACCACGAATTCACTGAATTTGGGAGCTGGTGCCACATTTTTTGTGATAATTATGATCTTAATAGTATGACTTTTTTCTAACTTCCAATTAGATTGAACTTTAAAATTAACATTTATCTTATTTTACTTATTTTGTCCATAGCTACTGTTAAGTAGAATTTTAATTAAGCAGCAGTTGGTAGCAGTTAGTTTTAAGTTG
Organism: Homo sapiens; assembly: GCF_000001405.40. Classification (NCBI taxonomy): domain Eukaryota; kingdom Metazoa; phylum Chordata; class Mammalia; order Primates; family Hominidae; genus Homo; species Homo sapiens. The sequence goes on from NW_025791777.1 coordinate 1,891,526, forward strand.
TTAGAATTCGTGATCATCTAAAACCCAAATGTTAGTAGACACATGCTTAAAAATAGGTGCTGTCAGAGGTCCACAAATACTTGGGTCTTTTTGCCAGTTTTAACAGTTAAAATTAGATATGCTTCCATGTTATTTGGAAAGAAACAATCCAAGAATATCTAGTCCAAGAACTTGCGTGGTCCACTGAACAGCATCATTGACAAGGAATCAGGCCTTTGCTTCTATTCCTGGCCACATGCTGCGAAAGTCATTCAGATTTATCATGCAGATGACTGGCTTTGCATATCCCTATCATTATCACTAACGCTGAGATAGCAATTCCGACTTACCACACAGGAATCTCTAATGATTAATTGGATAATGTTCGTTAAGTGCTCCCAGCTACTTAGAATAAATGTACTAGATGGCTATTAAGCATTGTTATTATAAGATGTTGCTTAGATGTAATACCAGTGACTGACTGCTCCATAGTTATGAGGAAAATTACTTCCTCTGATAATATGAGTGTAACACATATTGACTTAAAATATACATTCTTTGGCATACATTTAGACTTTCCAAATGAGCTAAGCAAAGGGCGGCCTTCTATATGGTTTGTTAGTTGCTTATTTAAGAGTGCATACTATCTGTGTGGCACTTTTATAAGCACTTCATCCTTACGATAATACTGAATGCCAATGATATATCCTCACTTTTTATAGGAAGGACACAGAAACATAAATGCCTTGCCTGAGGCCACACAGCTAGTAAGTGGTAGGGTCAGAACTTAATCCTTTTAAAATTGGCTTCAAACCACTCATGCTTAACCACTCCCTTAGACTGCATAGCTCCTATATTTACATTTGTATTGTGTTTATCCCTTTGCTCAAGAAAGTGGAAGTGTTTGGTTATATATCACCTGGAAAACTTGCTGATCTATCTTTTTAAAGACAAATTGTGCAAGGTTAATCCAGGAAGATCCCCGAGGGAAAATCAGTTAAGGAGAATTGAGAGATAAAGAAAGCAGGTGTAGGAGTGAGAAAGGTAACCTGAGTTCCTTGTCTATGTACAGGTGTCATCACTTCCTATTAATTGGGGAAGACATTTTAAGTTCATTGTGATTTTGAATTTAGATGCCTCCAATTTTTTGAAAATGCAGAAAACAAATTATAGAAATGCTATGTGAAGTTATAGCATCTGGGAAAAAGAACAAGTATTTTCTTCTCTAATGTTTCATCAAGTGAAATGATTTGGGCTGTAAATAAAGTGCTAGTACAATATATTTTCAATGATAAAAGAAATTATCATCTCTCCAAACAAGACATCCAAGGCAAACTAACTTAATTTTAAATTCAGCACCTCAACAGCATCATCAAGGATCCACACTTTTTCCCTCTTTATTCACTAGACTCCTCAGCATGTTACCTGAGCCTCTTATCTGCTCCTTGAAGATGACTGAAGCAGCTCCATCTACCAATTGACACACATCAGGATCTGCAAGAACAAGAACTCAATCTTCCTTGTTTCTCTCTTAAAGCCCCACAAGAAATCATTTCCCTTGTATCTCATTGGCTGAAACTTTGCAGCATGTTTGTTCCTAAAACAAATAGCAAGAGGGCTAAAAGGTTCACAGTTAGCTAAATTAGTCAAGATTCACTTCTTTCATCAGGAACTGGGAGGTCTCTTTCCTTAAATTCCGTTGCTTTGTGAATGAATGTGGTTTTCGGAACATAAGTCATAGTCTCTAAACAGGGAAGAGGGATGTCTATTGGGTAGATGACTGTATACTGTCTACTGTTACTCTTATATTTTATTGAATGCATTTCCTTTTTTCTCTATTTTTTAATATTTGCATGGTGAGAGTGAATTCATTCAATTGATTTTAATTTTAAATATATATTAATGCAAATTTTACATAGCAAAATGAAAGAAATTTTTAGTTCATTAGATGCTGTGTCATTGTATTGTACTGAATTTTCTCCTAATTTTGTAATTCTGAGGATGACCCACAACCCATCTTTTCTCAAACTCAAATACAGACATTACCCAAGACTCATTAATCAGAACCAATGACATTTTTGTCTGGTTTGTGTTTTCTTCTAGATGTCAAATTGACATGTAAGGATTAACATATCCACAAAACAAACTTTATCAAACTAGGCTGCCCATTTCTATGTTCTGTCCTCTGTAATACATCATTTACATTTTGCTTTATTGATTTTTATTTAGCATAATACTTTTGGCAGTGGTGGTGGCCTGTGTGTACATGTATGTACATACATGTGCTAAATGTACACATTTAATTACATATATGTGATTTATGTTATATAATTATATAATTTATATAATTTAAATTTTATAATTATATAATTTATGTAATTATATAATATAATTTACATTTTATAAATCTAATATAATTTATATAATTTATATAATATAATATAATTTATGAAATTTATATAATTATAATACATACACTTTTATATAATATAAATATTAATAACTATTAATATTTATTAATAGTTATTAATAAATATTAAATAAATACTAATAACTATTTCAAATGCTTTAAAATATTTGAAATAACCTGTATATAGAATTAGACTTAGATATCTAACCCTTATATAGGATTAGGCTTGGATATCCCAGACATCCAAATAGAATCCTATATACAGATTAGATATTCAAATATTTTGAAGAATTACTTCGATTTTTACAACCTTGGTTAACTCTTCCTTCCTATGAGATGGTATGATGTAATTTTTACTACTTTTATTATACTGTTTGCCTGCTGTGTGCTGTAGCTATTCATATACTAAAATTGTTACTCCTACCACATACACTGTGATAGTAAAAGCACAGCTAACACTTACATAATGTGTAATTTCCTTAGTATTTTCGATGTTACCATAATTTTTTGCAATGCTAATTAGTATTTTATGATAAAGTACGCTTAAAGAAATGTGGAGAATCCTAGTCTAGAAAAAATAGTTGAGCCTGTAAAAGCTGATATGCCACATGCCACTCCAAGTGGAATGGAGATAGTATGCTGCATTTCCCAAACATGTTTGGCCAGGAATCACTTGTGGTTATACTCATAGAATTACTAGTATTCTGTGAAACACATTAGGTGAATATAAGTATTGTGATTTGTAATGCATGCAATGCTTTAGGAATAAATATCATTTCATTTTCACAAAACATTTGAAGTAAGTAGATCAATAATTGTTAGTATTCTCATTCTATAGATGACAAGGTTGATGTAAAAAATGTGGCACAAGATTCATTGGAAATTCAAAATAAAATGTCCTCAACTTTGACTAAATCCTGTGTTGTCTTCATTACACTAAACACATGCTTAAAGCTCTACTTCTCTTGTATTTCTTTCAGTACCTTGCGCAGTACCTTGAACTTTGTAAATACTTCAAAAATAAAACTTGCTTCAAATTTCGTCTAATTTAATAGTAAGTTAAAATTAAAGCAAAAACAAGAAGTATGACTATGTCCCTAATAGTTTGTCAACACATTGATATAACAAAATGGTTTGTTTAATCAGTTCAAGATCCAATGGCATTTCTAAAAGCTTTTCAAAACTGTAATTAAGTTTTGTTTTTTAACTAAACTACAAGCCTAGAATTTAGTGAAAAATCAGGCAGAAATCATGAATTGGAAAATATGTCCTGACATAGCTTTAGGTAAGAAATGGAATGATTAATATAGACCGACCATAATGAATACAAATGGAGTTCTACCTGTTCTATTAAGTGAACCATGGGAATCAGTCAATACCATTTATCTTGAGGACAAGTAAAGACTGAGTCAAAATACACTAAAAAGAGGGTATATTAATGTGGATTTCTAATTAACCGAATCCACCACACTCTGGTCATCAATGGTAAAAAGTTGCAAATATGCTTTATATATGCACAACCATACAGATAACTAATGTCAACTCAATTTGCAAAGCTATACATTTTAATGAACTGTCTTTAAATTGTATTAATTTTGAAAGAAATTTTGCTGTGCCAGGAATATAAGACACTAGCAACCATCTCAAGGCTCTAATGACTCTATTTATATCATTTATTAGTCTTCCACATTGTTATTATTATAAATGTCCTATACCTACTTACCTAGAGTTAAATTAATATTTTAAAATAAATACTAATGAATTAAATGCCTAATTATTTAGCACATACAAAAACCCTCATTCTCAATCACATTTCAGATTTAAAGAAATGCTTTTACTTTGTGAATTGTCTCGTAAATAAATTTAGTTCTCTCTTTTAGGTTTAATAGGGTTTCTAAACATGCCTGGTTTAACAGATTATCAGTATTTGTTACACATTGTGTGTAATAGCATTAATTTAGAAAATTTAATGTACAGACACATTTTTCTTCTTCACAAATAGTAAACCATCTATCCATGTCAGATGTAGAAAAAATTGTTTAAAGCAAAATATGGTAGCTTCTTCTGTGTCTATCAGGTTATTCTGTTAAATGCCAGAAGGACTCAGAAGTTCAGGATCAAACAGAAAGCTAATATAAATCTATTTGGAAAACTTGAGAATGAAAAAAAAATATGTATATATATATATAAATGCATTTCTTTGCGGATTTCCCAGGCTTGAGTTTTCCTAAGTATCAGAAGGAAATGTAAATTTTTTATAACCAAAATTAAGAAATATATGGCGTTAATTAAAAAGAATAGAAAATAAAATAATGCAGCTAAAGATTTATAGGTTGAATGGGACATGCCTGTAAAAGGAATCTGTATAGGTGGTATCTATGTAGGTCAACCTACAACAGAGAGCGTGAATGCTGATGGCAGAATGAAGTCTAATCAGGGTAAGGAGAGAAAATTCTAGATATCCCTGATGGCTCATCTCCTCCACCCTTTCAGTGACTTAGCAAGAAACTGGATCAGCTCACCTGAACTAGCGCAATAAATAGGACCAGAGGCTGAGCTCAGGAGCTTTCTCCTTTTAACTCGGCCACTTCCTAAACCAAGAAGCACCAATCATCACAGGGTTACTAGATGTTTATTTTCTTCCTTTCTCCACTCCTAAAAATGTGTAGATCATTATAGGGCTGGTATCTCCTTCCCGGAACCCTTTCTGTGCTGAATCCAGTCCAGCTCAATCTGCTTTAACACGTCTCTATGGATTATTGAGCAACTGGGGCTCATTTGAGTCGTCCTAGTTCTCAGTGTATACATTATCTTCAAACAAACTCTATCACATATATACACTTCGGGGTATTAGGGTGTGAATGCCCATATCATCCTTATAATCCAGGACAAACTTTGTATATCTGAATGCAGTGGCAAGATTTTCACTTTTCATATTTGAATGAAAGATTCAAAACCATGTAAACATGTAAATCCCTTCATTGTTTTGTTGTTTTGTTTCTTTTTTTGAAAGTCTGTCTCCAGATTAAGTTTAACTGATCAATATATAGTATCTTAATCCATGTGTTTTAGGAAACAGTCTTTCTGATACTTTAAATAGCTGTGTTCAGATGATCACGTTTGTTATATAACATTCTCTGCTCAATTATCTTCTATTTTGCTTTCTTCCTGCCTTCCTCACCTAAATAAGCCAGCAGCTTTGTTTCTCATACCAAATGCTAGGTGTCATCTTTTTATTCCTTCCTTATCTATTCCAATAGCAGAGTCTGGTTAGTTCTACCCCAAGTGTCTTTTCAATCCTTGCACTTGGTATCTCTCCATTATGAATACCGTATTCCAAGCTACTGTCACTTTCTGCCTAACTGCCACCCTATCTTGTCTCTCTGCTTCTGCTCTCCTACCAGTCAAACCAGATCTCTTCCACAGGGGAGTGGGAGTGATCATTTAATCAGATCATATCACTCTTCTGCTAGGAGCATGTCCAAACTCAGAGCCCTCATAGAGTTGGGGCACTTTCTACCTCTTTCACTTCCTCCTGTATCACCTCTGACTTCCCTCACTATCCTGCAGCCCCATTTGCCTGCAATGCCTTTCCCTCGATATCTTCATGCTTTGCCTCTTTGCTCATGCCTCAACCAAGCTGCCATATGATCAGACAAGCTACCCACACTACTGATTCACACACAGGCATATGCTCATATCTGCTACCCTCCAACCCTGCCTTTTATTGTAATCAATAGTATTTATGATAACCTGACATAATACATATTTGTTTCTTGCTTCACTGAATGTAAATGGTATTATAAATGGCATGAAACAGGGATTTTGACTTCCTAGGTGGTTACTCTACCCTCAGTACTTAGCACGTTGCAGGTTCTGCAGAAATCCTGATTAATGGAAATGCTGACACAAATCACATGATTATTTTATGGTGAAATCACAAATTTCCCTACCTATTTTTTTCACACAGAAGTAGCTTTGCTTTTTTCTCATTAGTTGTATTTATCTTCTAAATGAAATGAAAATATATTGCCGAAACAGGAGTAAGTTTCCTGTAATTTGGGTGTGGGAATCCCTCTGTAGAACTTAGTGCCTGAAAACCTTGCTTCACAGGGGAAGGAATAATGAATCTCATGTTTAAATTATGTAGCACAAGTAGATATAGTATCAACCTAAAAAATTTCACAAATTCTTTGAAAATCCAACTATTCAAAGAAAATCCATATTCAAGCACAGACTTTAATCTGGAGTTACTCTTCTATTGGATCTCTATATAGCTTTGAAACTGATTAAAGCTGGCTTTGATTTCCACATTTAGAAATTAATCACACATGGCTGGATCACGGCCATGGGGGCTGCTATTCTAGAGCAACCTCTCTCTGTGAGACTTGGAAAAATATGAGGAGAGCCACCCACCTATCACACCATCAAACACTTATATAGACACACAACTGAGAGAGGGGTTGCTTCATGTGTTCTTTTCTCTAAAAACATCCTCTGGACATTTCTCTTTTAGCTTCAACGACTCTGTTGGTTTTTAAGTAGATAGAGAGATGGTTTGACAAATTAAAAGGTAGCTAGCTTACTAAACATAGCACGGTGAACACTTAATTCCAATCATAAAATAACATTTTACTATGTTCAAATTGTGAAAAACAGACGATAGTAAATGAAGATATCACTACTGATGGTGAAAGAAAGAGAAAGTAACACGATTGCTGTTGACTTCTCCAGCTGCATCTTCCCTCACTGGCATGTATCCACACCGTGTTTCAGGAATACCAAGATATTTATTATTTCCTAAATAGTCAAGGCTACCTCTCATCCCTTAGATCTAATTGGTCATGCCTCTCTGCCCAGCAGAATTTTAACACCTATCCTTTCTCATGCTAACTTCTATTTAGATTTCAGATTAGATCTCAAAGTTAAACTCCTTCAGATGTGGACTCAGCTCAAATACCATGGATACCAGAGATATCATTGACTTAATTATTCTTATGCTGATTAAAGCCTTCCTTGGGTTGTTGTGATAGATTATTGTGATAGGGGATATCAGATATCCTCAAAATTATAAATACCTATGGTATTAATAGTAATTTTTTTGCAGAAAATTTACTTTTGAATATCTATGTATTTCTAATTTGTAAAATCACTTTTCTGTTATAAACAATGAACATCTCTTTATGCAACAGATAGTTTATTCATCAATCTTTGTGTCTTTTTCTGATTGTTTCTATTAATTAAACTCTTAGAAGCTGAAACTGCTAGATAAATGCTGTTAACATTTAACACATATTGGCAAGTTGCCATTCTGAAGAGTAACACCAATTCATACTCTTACCAATAGTCCTCAGGGTACCCTTTTCCTCACATACTGTGAACTCTAGGTATTATCAATCTTTTTAACTTTGTAAAACTGAGAGTCAAATAAACTTGTTGTTTTGTGGTTCTACTATACCAAGAAAAGATATAATAGACATGAAAATGTTGGCATCTTTATGAGTCTGGAATTAAAGGAACTTTCCCTTTCTGCTTTCTAATTTGATTTAAGGAATATATTGCACTTTAATAACAAATGCACTAAAATGATTTGCATTTGAAAATCTCTTTAATATTTTAACTCTGAAAAGACAGACTTGCACAATGGTTAAGACTGTGAGGTGAGGACTCAAGTGGGTCTGAGTTCAAATTGAAGCATATGCACTTAAAATGCAGTTTTATCATCTGGAATACAAGGGTGATAATCCTTGCTCTTCTAGGATTAAAATGATCTCATAAATGTTGAGTACTGAAAGAAGTATTGGCACATAATAGGCAGTTAATAAATAGTAGCAGTGAGGAGACTCCTGGTAAACATAGCATTTCAAACTTACGCATTCTTCCAAACAAAACAGAATTCATCTATGTACATGGACATGTATTTCTTACGAGGTTTTCTTCCATAGATAATGAATGTAAGAAAGCAAAATTAATTTGCTTGTGATTATTTGTGTTGTTATCAAGTATGGGTTTATGACATACTATAGAGTATTCTTTGGAGGCAGGTTATTGCTTTCATCCAATAAGAGGAGATTTAGTACTATAAATAGAAAATGCTTAAAGCTTTTCAGAATTTGTCTTAAAAGTAATTAAATTTCAGTTTAAACTATGATATTTTGCTCATTATCGTAAAGTTGGAAGATAAATTAAAAGTTTCAGAAGTTATTTTAATACAAATCTAAAATTCAATCATTATTCTTCTAAAATGCAATAAATTAAAAGATTATAACGGCTTGAAGTTTACCTTAATAACAACTTTTTAGTTGATGGTACATAGCTCCTGTGGGTCAGAATATGTTTTTAAAGTTTCTCAATTTGATCACATTAGCATTTGCACTGGATAAAAATGAATGGTACCACAGAATTAAGCAACGATTTCAGAAACAAATTCAAAATAAACTCACACTTAAGTGACTAAACAAATTGGCCTTCCATCTATTAATTTAGCACCTATAGAGTTCTAAAGTTTAGAGATTTAGGAAGGTACTAAGAGTGGCAAATGTGTGTCATCTGCATCTTAAAAAATAAGAAACATTAATTCACCAAACAGAGTGGTATTACCAAGTAGAGGAAGCCACTAACACATGCAAACAGAGTGGGTAAATTCACGGTGACTTCAGAGTACTTGTGGTTGTTGTGTGGGAAGCCTAACATGGAAGACCATGAATCCAAGTCAGAAAGATAATTAAGGATGAATTATGTTAAGGAGATTATATCTCATTAATTTCCCTCATTTATGAAGGAACTTGGACATTCTTAGAAATTTTCTCTCTCCAATAACATCTACTGCAAACATGGATCACATCATGAATGCCACAGGAAATAACCTAGATCATAAACCATTCCACTGGCTAATTTTGCTTTTTTCCCTACCTAACTCACCCTACAGCCACTCACTTTCCTCAGTCCTTTTACATTTCAGCTCCAGTTTCAGGAAATGACTTTGTTATCTACTTAGAGAAAACTGGACCTATTGATAGAGAACCAATTAATCTTTTCTTCCCGCAACCTACAACAAACTCACCTAAGTCTACAGTGACTTAATTTTTTTTCCTTTTACAGTACATCAATCATCTATTTGTGTCTGTAAGACTATCCTTTTGCCAAAGTTTTCAATACTCAATACAAAAATCACAGTTTTTAATTTTTTTAATTTTTTTAATTTTTAATTTTTTATTTTTTGAGACGGAGTTTCACTTTGTCGCCCAAGCTGGAGTGCAGTGGGGCGATATCAACTCACTGCAACCTCTGCCTCCCGGGTTTCAAGCGATTTTCCTGACTTAGCCTCCGAGTAGCTGGGATTATAGGCATGCACCACGATGCCTGGCTAACTTTAGAGACGGGGTTTTGCCATGTTGGCCAGGCTGGTCTCGAACTCCTGACCTCAAGTGATCTGTCTGTCTCAGCCTCCCAAAGTGCTGGGATTATGGGCATGAGCCACCGTGCCCAGCCAGTTTTTGAATTTGAATGCCCATAGAGAATACACTGCAGTTACCCACAGAATCTATAATTGTTTATGACTTTATATCTAGTTGTCTTGCTTGTATTGAGTCAGATTATTTGTTAGACATCAAAAGGCACATAATTTGGGGTACCTTGAATTACGTTATCTCTTTGATGTATCTGACATTGACTACTTAACTAAATCCTTCCCCTGTGTATGTAAACCCCTTCAGATTACTTACAAAAATAGACACACAGACCCTCTGTTGGACAGCAGATCATCCTCTCCTCCCTCACAAGCAAAATTATCATGAAGCATTGCATATCGTCTGAATCTCTGTTCATTTCTTTCTCTCCCACTAACATTTGCAATTGGCTGTAATTTCCCTTCAAATTCCTATTAACTTATGAAAGTTGTTGATAGGGTCACGTATAAAGTTCCATGTGAACAAATCTAATAAACATTAATAAGCTTTTTTTTTTGCATTCATATTCCTAGAGATACTTGATGACCCCCTTCACCTAGAAAGTCTTCCCTCTCCTTTATCACATAGAAGTCCCCTATTCTCCTCAGCATTCTTCCCCATCCTCCTTTACAGTCTCCTTAGACATCTCATCTTCTATGGAAACATAAAATAGTGAAATTCTGAAAGACTCATCTTTGCCTTTTTTTCTTAGAGATCTATATTCTCTCCCCACATAAGCACATTTATGTCTAGAGTTCTATTTGCTATTTTGTGCCAATGTTCCCAATATTTATATTTCAATCTCGGGCTTATTTATATTTTTTATTTTGAGATTCTTTTTAGTTTTATTCGCATGCACTTAACAATTTCCAAATACTCTTTGGTGTTATGTTTTATGGCACATTTAATATAATGTACACAAAAGCAGACACTATCATCTTGCCCTGTTTCTTCCATCAATATCTGTCTTTTTTCTTGGCTCCTAATTTCAGGGAATGGTAATTTCCCTTTCTGCAAATTAGACATCTGGGAGTCATCCTTGATCTCTCTCTCTCTCTTTGATTCCTCTGTGCCCCATGCCATCCATATATGAGTACTTAAAATTTTTAATCACATATTAAGAAACTACTCCCAAATCATCCCGGAAGTCTTGCCACATCTCTCCATACTCACTACAATCTTTATATCCCAAGCTATCTTGATCTCTTTCTGGCAATATCTTCTATTCTGCTGCACTCCATGCACTCTGACTTTTTCAATCTGTTTTCTAAGTATATCACTCCCCCGCTCCATCTTTAAACCCTATAATTAGTTTTCTTTGAATTTAGAATAAAGACTAGGTTTATAGTTTTTACGACCTGAACAATTAGTCACATTCTCTTATTTCTTCTCTCTGTTCAAATATACTGATCTTTCATTTCTTAAATTTTCCGAGCCTCTTCCTACTTAAGGAATTGTATTCACTTTGTTTCCCTTGTTTAGATTCCTTTTTTTCTAACCTAGCTTTTATCATTTTTCAGTTTGCAACTTAAAGTCTCCCTCTCTGACTTCCCAGGTTTCTCAAGTCACCTCAATATATGCATTCCACATGTTGGTGTTGTAATTGTACCTTTGTTTGCTAAGTGATTTGATTACAGTCCCTTTTACCTACCATAAGAGGATTGCATCAGCGTTACCACTGTTTCTTCAGTACCTAGTTTGGTAGATGTTTGTTTCTCCATAAATGCTCAGCTAAAAGAATATTTTGCCTGTTAGAATGAGCTGTATTGAGATAACTATGCAGGGTGGGAGCACAGTTAATTTTTGTTTTTAGAAATTTTACACAATAGGAAAATAAAAGGAACAGATGGAGTGCGGGTGTTCTAAAAATAGGGAAATATTTTTGGAGGCTATATTAATAGCCCAAGATCCTGCCTGGACTGAAGATATTGATGAAGGCACAGCAGTTGGGTTATAGATGAGAAAGTGCAACTGAGAGATACTTAGATTAATGTAGTGATTGTTTCTGACTGGCTGGGCTGGACCCAAGGTAAGAGAGGCCTCATGAGCAAATGATCAACACTATAAGTTCTAATGAGTTGTAGAACTTTCTCTACAACTGATTAGAGCTTATAGTGCCAATAAGAAGATAGCGATGAAGCATTTTATGGTGAATTCTCAGTTACATTTTCCAAAGGCGGAACTTTAGTTGTTTAGCATGGAGAAGTTTAGAAGAATAATAGAGATAAGTACTACACGGTGCTCAAAGAGAGAAGTGGACTGATGAAACAAATTTGACAGTCATTGGTACAAGTTGCAGATAAAGTTATGAATGTGGCTGGGAACACATAGAGACTGGCTTTGGCTCAACCACAGGAATAATCTTAGAAGGAGAATGAAAGAATTTGAGCCAAAGAAAATTAAAAAGAAATGGCTACATGGGTAGAAATAAAACAGCAAGAAATTTGGGAATAAAAACCAAGCGAAGTGAGAGACATTCAAGGAGAGAGTGGTGAATCAAGATGAGGACTAAATAAAATATTGCTTATAATATTTGGTGATCAGAATTTGTTTTTAGGATTATCAAGTGTGTTGTTATTGGAGCTAGACAGGCAGCTATAAAGCCTGTTGTAAAGTGCATGGGACAGAAAAGAATCAGAAGTTATAGCACAGACTACTTTTAAAATATTTTTTTCTTATAAAGAAGAAAGAACTATATGGTGGTAACCAGATAAGAAAGCACATGGAAACGGGTGATTTCTTCTCGTGAAATTTAATGAAACCAAACATTTTACCCTTAAAATACAGCATTTACTCTATTTCATGCAAGTCACTAAGAATTCTCCCTGACCTTGCCGTAAGAAGGAAGGGGCACCTGTAGGTACTACTGCTAAGGATCAGCAGGGACAATCTCACTCAAACCCACAGGACACAAGAAATCTTACGAGCTAAACAGAATTGACTGAAAGTCAAGTGCAATGTTAAAAAATCCCAGAAAGCCATAAGGCATTCTGCGAAGTCATCAAACTGAAAGGATAAAGAAAGCAGTGATACAGTCAGAAATATCCCCCAAAAGCAAGAGACTTGACAGTTAGAAAGGGTCCTTTCTACACGAAAATAACTAGAGTAGAGTCATTAATGGCCTATTTTTATTTTCTGTCCTAATATATGAAGAATGGCTAGTTTGCAAAGGAAGAATAAATACCCTAGTGATAAAAAAAATTACAAAGTATGGAATTAGAGAAACCTGGGTGTGACCTTCCAGTTGTGTGGTTAAGGGTATGATTTTAGATAAGGCATGAAATGTTTCTTAACTCGGTTTTTTTTTGTTACTTTATTAAATGGGCAACAATGGCTACTCTTAAGACTGTAGAGAGGACTAAGACAATAAATCCAAAGTTTTTGGCATGTAACACACGCCTAAGAGATAATAAAGTTATTCTTGATAGAGTCCTAGATTAGAAGTAGTGAGATGGGTTCATAAAATTGACCCTTGGTTTTTGAAACTAAAAATAGTTTTCCATTTCCAAAAAATATATATCGTGTAAATATCACTAGTAACACGTATAACAACATTTTTTTCCCCTGAGGCAAAGTTAAGGCAAAAGATAATTTCAGAGCCTTAAATATCTCTTGCCTAGAGCTCCTTCTTCAACCATTCCTCAACAACTATAGCGAGATCTGTCCTCTGTGTCTAAAATTTTCATAACTAGTAATTGTGAAACTAGTGGTCCAAAGCAAATGAAGAATAACTGCCTTGATATATGTATATGCACGACAATGAACACAGCAAATCCTGAGAAAGAAAGAATGGATTGGAACAGAGAAAAATAAATCCTCCTGAGAACTACATCTTCTTCTTATTTAGAACTCCTGTCCTTACTTCACATGTGCAGAACCAGCTCAAAGTCCGGATGTAAGCCAGCCATGCCCCTTACTCTGCTGTGAATATCATTCCCCCCAACAGTAGTCTCAGACTCTTCATTTCTCCATGTGGAAAATGTTGCCAAGTCACACAATACCTAGTACACAGCACTAAAGTCATTTTTTAAAAAGCTTTTAAGTTCAAGGGTGAAAGTGCAGGTTTGTTACATAGGTAAACTTCTGTCATGGGGGTTTGTTGTACAGATGATTTCATTGCCCAGGTATTAAACCTAGTACACATTAGTTAATTTTCCTGATCCCCTCCCCTCTCCCACCCTACCCTCTCTGAAAGGCCCCAGTGTGTGTTGTTCCTCTCTATCCATCCATGTGTTCTCATCATTTAGCTCCCACAGTTTATCTAAAGATGTGTGCTTATAAATCTTCCTTCTCCCTTCTACTTCTGGCAAATAAAATATTCTTTTTGTTCATCTGCAGAAAGAAACAGAGTCCTCCTTCTCTCTCTCTCTTTTGTTTTTTTTTTTCTTTTTTTTGAGAAGGAGTTTCACTTTTGTCGCTCAGGCTGGCGTGCAATGGTGCAATCTTGGCTCACTGCAATCTCTGCCTCCCAGGTTCAAGCGATTCTCCTGCCTCAGCCTCCCAAGTAGCTGGGATTACAGGTGTGCACCTCCATGCCTGGCTAATTTTTTTATTTATAGTAGAGGCAGGTTTCACCATGTTGGCCAGGTTGGTCTTTGATTCACATATCAAGGCATGTTACAAAACTATTTATGCAGAAATGGCACACGTGAGCTGCTGGCATGTAACCTGAATCCTAAATTGGTTGGGAGAAATAGAAATTGTGTACCATAGAATCAAAGACTTTTACCTTGACATTCACAGTGTGTCCCTTTTCATGTAGATGACATTATTTACTATTCATTGTCTCAAACACATTTCCGTGTATAAGTGAGAAGGTCCTAGTGCTTATTTGTCATAAGGTAAGTGAAGATGCTTCATGGGACAAAAGAAATCTGACAATGCAGCAAGATTTTTAAATTTTCTATTGTGGTAGGAGTTTTACTGATTATCACTAAAATAGGGAATGAAGTGGGTTTTGGGAAATCAGTTCCATTTACATTTATTCCACAAAAAAGATTTATATCTATATGCCACTCTTTCTTTGTGTATGCTAAGGTGTATGAAAGGAAGAAAATCCTCTGTGATTTGCATTAAGAACAGTAAAAAACAATATTGAAGGACTTCATCATAACCAGTAGGAGAACCTGGTCAAATTAAGCACATTTGTGATTCCCAGAACATTCTGAAGAGAAATACTTGAGTCATTCATTTGGTTCTAAGTACACCTGACAGAATTGCATCTGGGCATCTTCTCAGGGGAATCTTCTCTCCTTAAGTGCCCTTGAGTAAGATCTCTCTACAGTTAAGTGCCTGACATTATTAAGAATCTTAATTTTGTACTGACTTCTTGTATGCGCGGCATAAGATTTAGGCAAAAGTAACACTGCCTCTTTCAAAGTCAATTTGAAACACACATATATGAAGAATTTTTTAAAAAGTCAATAACTATTGTCATTCAGTAAAATCCTCAAAAGAAATGTAATAATACCAAGTCCTTCACCCACTTCATTTTGATTTGAATTTATCAGAAAAAGTTCTGAAATTAATATCTAACCATATAGTCAAGCTGTGCCAAATGATTGTAGATTAACCAGTGAAAATCTATTCACATTTTTTCAGTAGTGTGAGAGATACAGCAGCCAAAATCTACGGATTTGTGTTTGGTTTTTTGTTTGTTTGTTTGTTTTTTGAGACAGAGTCTCCGTCTTTTGCCCAGGCTGGAGTGCAGTGATGTGATCTCAGCTCACTGCAACCTCTGCCTTCCGGGTTCAAGTGATGCTCCTGCTTCAGACTCCTGAGAAGTTGGGATTACAGGTGCGCACCACCATGCCCAGCTAATTTTTGTATTTTTATTAGAGGCAGCTTTTCACCACGTTAGGCAGGCTGGTCTTGAACTCCTGACCTCAAGTGATGCCCCTGCCTTGGCCTCCCAAAGTGCTGGGATTACAAGTGTGAGTCACTGAGCCCGGCCAGCATTTTTATATACCTGCAAAAGACACTTTGAAATAACAAATAAGTTGTAATGACACAGTTGATAGAAACTGGAAAATGTATCCTTCCAATGTGGAGTAAAATAGCAAAACATGCTCGTAAAAGCACTAAATAAATAAGAAATATTAATGAAAAATATCTAACTGTAAATATCTTGAAGAAAATACTTAAAGTACAGTTTTAGGGATTGAACCTAAACTTCAAGTTTAAATGTTCCATAATATTTAAATTTATTTACAATATAAATTTATAAAACAAAATAGATATTCAGCGTGGAAATTCAGAACGGAAACATATACAAAGTTACTGGTGTTACTAATAAGTGCACGTGGTTTGCAACTGATTGCTCTTATGCAAACACTCACACGAACACATGTGAGGTCCCCTAGGAGTAATAGACCAGTCTCTGGCATCTGGGCAGATGGTGCTTATATTGCTGGCAGGTGATGAAGCTGAGGGAAGACACTTATCATCTTAAATCCCAGAGACCAACGCTTTCAACTTAAAAATGAAAATGTCCCAATTATAAATCCCTGAGGTGGAAAAGGCTGCAACACGAAAGCATTCTAAGCCATGCCTTTGTGTTGTATTGCAGTCAAGAGGAAATAAAGAGGTCCCCTTTGTTTAATAAGCAACTGAAAGTTTTTCTTTCATGCCTCTCATATTTCTTGGCATCACCATAACTGTTGCCATTTAATCAAGATTCCCTTTAAACTGGTGAATGCTAGCAGAATGTCTCAAGAGAGCTGATTTCCTTCACTTTCAAGTTCATTGTGACCACGAATGCATTAACCTGGGCTGCCTACATTTCTTCCTGTGCTGTCACATAAGATATACTCCACATAAAAATAAAGAACATCAACCTTGAAAGAGGAAAAAAAAAAAAAGAAAGAAAGAAAAAACTACATTTAGCAACCCAGACTAGAATCTAAGCTCTGTCAAAGTGATTTCTTATTCCATTTTACTGAAGCAGTGCCAAGCTTTATCACTTCTGAGTTCATGTCTTACAGCTGAGGCAACCCACTTGAATTGGTAAGTTGCTTAAAGTATACACGCGCTGTTCACGTTGTCACTGATTTAAAATGAGAGAGGAGTTCTGCAGGTGGAATACAACTGAAATAGAGGAAATGGGAACTAGAAACATTAAACCATGCGTAATTAATGGTTCTTTGTCTTGCTGGTCCTCTGGAACTCTTTTTATGAGTGTTATGCAGATGCCCTATAGCAGGAAGGGCAGTGCTGTCATTTGAATAGGGTTGGTTGTTCTCCACCAAAGTGCATTTTGAAATTTGATTCCCAGCATGTAGGTGTTGGGAGGTGGGGTCTAGTTGGGAGGTGTTTGGGTTGTGGGGGTGGATCCCTGATGGATGGCTTGGTGCTGTGATCCTAGTAGTGAGTTCCCACTCTCACAAGACTGGATTACTTCCCTTGGGAATGGATTTGTTCTTGTGAGAGTGGATTGTAATAGAGCCAGGGTGCCCCTCAGGTTTCCCTCTCTTCACATGAGTTCATTTCCCCTTTGGCCTTCACCATGTTGTGACACAGCACGAAAGCCCTTGCAAGAAACCAGGGCTATGGCCTTGAACTTCTCAGCCTGCAGAACCATGAGCTAAACTAATCTCTATTCTTTACTAATTACCCAGTCAAAGGTATTCCTTTAGAGCAACACAAAACAGACAGAGAGAGAGAGGCAGGATGCTTAGTGCTGAGGGTCCAACTTTGTATCATCCTACATTTTTCGTTCACATTGGCATCACAAATAGAAATGGAGAAAATAAGTATGATTGCTGCAGCTAAATCTGACAAACTGTCACCTACGTACACCATTTCTACACCATGTAATCTCACATAACGTCCACAAGTGTCCTGTGCCTATTAGCATTTTAAAGGACTTTGTGGCCATCATACTCTCGCTTTGGAGCTAGGGATGTTTCATTATCCTCAATTAAAACTCTCTCAGAAGCAAGACTGGCAAGCATTTATTTATATATTTTCCTTAGAGGCAACATGGGAGGCATGGATTCTGTAAAGGAGGCAGGGTGCTCTTCTGTGCTGCATCAAGAAGCGATGCTGGTTTGGAATAATTCTCCTAATGTGAAGCTATCTCCATTAAAACATAAACCATAATTGTGGAAAGCAATTTGCTCAGGAGAACTAACAGGGTTTCTTATTGTGATTCAATAACAAGGGAGCATGGAGATGCAATGCTGAAAATGCTCCCCAAACTCTTTTAATTTTCTTGAAGTGTAATTTTCTTCTGTGAAACCAATGTGAAAAGCTGAAATCATTTCTATTATACTCAGAAGCAAGATGTATATACATTTCCTGTAAATTAACATTTTCCAACTTCAGTGAACTTAAACACTCTTCCATTTGTTTGTTTCAAAATGTGGATTAATAAAAACTTGAAACCATGACACTGCCGATAAACAGTGAAAGCAAATCCACAGCTAGGTCAAAAGCTGATGTACTTAAATTTCTAATCAGTTTTGTCATGCTTTATACAGCTGCTTCTCTTTCACTAACAATTGATTATAGTTCAATAATGATTATATACCAACATGAGAGGTTGATAAATATTAATAATATTTTAAAAATCAATAACATTATTAAGAGAATCTTTCCTATAGAATATGGTCAAAATCAATAATAGCATATAAATATATCAGATGCTGAGATATTGCATACTGTATGCTACTAAAGTCAAAATCAATAGTAACAATCAGGAGATCTATTATTTTATTACTTATACTTAACATAAGTAGATATTCGATCTGTACAATTCTATTTCTTTTATTAGGCATAACATGGATCAAGGAAACGAAAGGAGCCATAAATGGTTCTAATAAATTTATAAAAACATTTATTTGTTAAAAATTTGTAGCTAGCCCGTTTCTTTTTATAGCATTATCCACTAGTGAAGGACAAGAAATAGAAATATCTTTTTAAAAAAAATTTCTATTTTTAATCATAGTGCTCAATAGTGGCACATGCAATGGCTTGAGATCTGTGGTGCATCCAGGGGATAACAGATGCCTCAGAAGCATTACCACATCTTCCCCTCCCCTACCCCCAGCCCCGTGGGCTGCATTTTGTTGTGACTCCTGTGTGCTTTTCTAAGACGTGTTTGCTTCACAGCTGGTGAATGGACACTTTCCATCACTTCACCTCTTGGCAACAGATGCCTCTCAGTTAGGCACAGATGCTGAGTGTCCACCCATCCCTAACATTAGCCTTGCGTTCTGGACTAATTGGGCCAACAGAGTTGCAATTAAGATTTGAATAATTAGATAACGGACATGATTACTTTTGTAATTAATCCTCATACTGAGTCATCATGATCATGTCTGGGGTGATGACCACTGGCTTATACTTAATTCAAATAGAGGTAGTGAGTATTAAAAGCAAAGCATTAGCAAAAATACTCCCTCACTTCTCCTCTAGAAAAAATAAATATGACACTACATATAGACACACAATTTTCATTTTTCAAGTACATTTTACAGTGATCTGTTGGATGATGAGAACTCATTTCAATTTAATTCATGCCTCCATCTGTCTGTCTGTCTGTCTATCTATCTATCTATCTATCTATCTATCTATCTATCATCTATCTATCAATCGTCTATCCATCTTTTTTTCCCAAAGACTTCCACTTTGGCTTCTGCACTGTTTTGGAACTGTGACCTATATTTTAAAATGAGTGTTTTCTTTCCTTTTTCAAAAATTTACCATATCATAAAAACAAATACATATAAACAAACTGAAGTTGACCCCTCTCCCTTCTCTTGTCTACAAAAAAGCCACAGATGTTAGAATTTCTTATGGTTTGGCTGTGAGTTCCTCCTCTTGTCTCTACTCTTTCCACATACTGTCCATATCTGTGACTCCTAGAATGTCATCTGGTAGGAGTGTGTTGCGAAAAGACATCCAAAGCCAACAGTGCCAAGCAGACCTGCCAGAGCTCTTGTCTCTGCAGATCCCTCTCAGAAGCCTGTTGTCTTCAATTAATCTTCTCAATGAAAGGATCAATCAGCTCCGTAAATCAGGGTCTCAGACTCATCCCTGACTGCACACTCCCACAACTGGCGCATGCCAATCTGTTGCCAAATGAAGTTCACTTTTCTCTTTAAATGTTACTCAACTCCCACCACTATGTATTTCGCTCCATTGCCTCAATGTGGGAATATCGTGATATCTTTCTGAAGTAATGTAATAGTTTTCCTTTCCTATTCCTGTCCCATTCCAAACTTCCTTCTAAATTGGCACAGGCTTCTCTGTATGACTGTGTTCCTCCATCGCTGCATTTTAGCTGCTGTAGCTTCTCTCAATCCTAGGAATAAACCAACATCCCAAGTGTTACTACATGGACGCTTCCCTTTGCCTAGAACAGTCTTTCTTCCCTCTTCATCTAGTAAACTGCACATCCTCAGATCTCTGGCCATCAATTTTCCCAAGAGGTGTTTCTTGTCCCTCTAGACCAAGCCAAGCCCTTCCTTTATACTCTCTTACAGCCTCCTTCTCATTTCACTCTTAGCGCTTTCCTCACTTTGTAGTTATATGAGCTTTTTTGTTAATCATTTCAGCTCACAGATACACTGGATCGACCCAGTTTCTGACACACAAGAGACTCTATGCTCTTAAATTAATGAATGATAAATGGTGTCATATTGAAAATGGGTTAAACTGTGTGATTCAGCAACTAAGGATAAAAAGGTTTCAGAAGTAATTACTCAATATTTATTTATAAGTTGTCTATATACACCAATGGTCTTTAAAGAACAGATTCTTTCATATATGTGTTCATGTATGGCAAAATTAATACTCATGTTTTTTGTTTGTCTGTTTGCTTGAGACAGAGGCTTGGTCTGTCTCCCAGGCTGGAGCGCAGTGGCCTGATCTTGGCTCACAGCAACCTCTGCCTCCAGGATTCAAGTGATTCTCCTGACTCAGACTCCCCAGTAGCTAGGATTATAGGAGGGCCACCATGCCCAGCTAATTTTCGTTTTTTTGGTAGAGACAAGGCTTCACCATATTGGCCAGGGTGGTCTCAAACTCCTGGCCTCAAGTGATCTGCCTGCCTCAGCCTCCCAAAGTGCTAGGATTACAGGCATGAGTCACCATGCCTGGCAGTCAAATATTAATATGTGACTGACACAATACAGGTCTTTGAAGATATACACATAATTAATATGTAGTCTGGGCCTGCAAGGAACTTATAATCTCTCAAGTAATACAAATCTCTAAAGACAAAATTAGGAGCCATGACAAACTAATAAAATAATGAGTTAACGAGGCTGGTGGCTGGAAATGAGAGAGCATTTTCTGGTGAATGTAATGTCACGTTTGGGTTTCAAAGAGAGTAGGAATTAGCCAGACAAGTTACACAGATGTAGAAGAATAAGAAGGAGAAGAGCAGACACATTTAAGGCCCTATGGACAGCATGGATAAAAGTCACAGAGGTCCACAAGCACCATTAGGGGTGTGTGTGTGTACATTTGTGCACACAGGCTTATGCATGTGCCTACAAATTATTCACAGTGACTGAAAAGAAAAGAATGGTGAGAGGTAAGGAGGGGTGGGATAAGCTGGGGGGATGTCAGAGTAGGCCTCTTATCCCAGAATAGACTGTGGCTCACTTTGTAGATAACAGAGAGCCATTTGAGATTTCATGTAGGTAAGTGGTAAGGTTATATTTGTATTTGAAACAGAACACAGCTGGGGAGGCTACACTTGAAAGGGAAGAGACTGGAGGCCAGAATATTGAAGAAGAGGCTGAGTCCAGGCAAGAATTTGCTATACTTGCCTGCATAGTCAAGAGTGAAGGCCTGTACTTAAGAGAGATGCAGTAGGTATGCAGACATGGCTACATAGTTAAGGAAGTCGGAAAAAAACTGAGATTTGTGATACTGGAATGGAGTGTGGAAAAAAAAAATCATAGTTTAGTAAGACACTCAGGTTACAAACATACATGCTGGAGAAAATTGCAATTTTAACAAATGTATTTTAGCTTCTCTGACTCATGAATCTGAGCCCTACATATGTCTTTTTGTTTGTTTTTGTTTGTTTGTTTGTTTTTGAATACTAAATGTTTTGAACACCAATTTGGATGGCTATAAAGTTTAATGTGAACTAAAGATATCATAACTTCTCAAATTCAGGCTTAATGCTTCTAGGAGTAAACATGTTCAGAATTCTAACCAAGAGCATAAGGAAATGTAATGACATAACTTTGTTAAAACTAGATTTCGATGTCATGTTTTTTGAAGCTATGAATGTTAGACGATGGGGAAACTCCCAGGTCTTTTCTGCTTTACATAACATGTAAGTATTTTTGTCTCTTTTTGCTGGTTACTTTCCTAGGCATTGAGGAGTACAGGTGAATTCATATATTACCTTTGGGGTAGGTTTTCACTTAGTGCTGAATGTCAACCTGTTCCTTGAATGGGCATAATTCAGAAAAAAAGCTAATTTGTGTGTTATTATCAGAGATTATAGTTCATTTTTTATTCTGGCTGTTGTCTTCTTTGAAACTTTTTTCTTTGTAGGTATACAAATTTGGATAAGCAGCCAGATGTATCAGGCAAATTCTTGGGGAGATCCATGTTTGCACAATTGTTGATGTAGTTGTTTTATAGAAGAAAAACCCACGAGGGTTGCTGAGTCATCAGACTCCACTGTACTCTTTCACTGCAGTAGAGAATATAGTAAGAACTTGGTTTGGCTCAGTACAACATACTAGCTCAGTGGTAGCCTACACAAGGTATTATTTAAGACTTACTAATACAATTGAATTTGTGTAGGATTATCTTCCTTTAATTTTCCTATTAAGAATAACTTAGGGACTGCAAGGGAGAAAGGAATGTTTTATTGAAATAAGTGGACATTATCATAGCCAATACTTACAAATGTTAGAATTTGGAAATGAAAATGAGGCTTCTATGATCAAAACCCAGGATGGAGTCTAGGGCTTTGTCTCTGACACCTCATTGGAGATGAGTCCTGTCCTCTGTGCTAGAAGATCTATTTTAGTGCAGTCCTGGTAGGAAAAGAAAGCTGGCCCCTAGCCAATGGTAAATAGGGGTTAACAGAGATGAGACATTCAGGTACCAGGCTTGTGAGCTAGAGAGGTGACACACTGCTTACTTAATGGTGTCTTATGTAACCTACCTCCCCCACTATTCTTTCTTTTCTTTTCTTTTTCTTTCTTCTTTTTTGTTTTTTTTTTTTTGTTTTTTTTTGTTTTTTGTTTTTGAGACCGAGTCTCACTCTGTCTCCCAGGCTAGAGTTCAGTGGCACAATTTCAGGTCACTGCAAGCTCTGCCTCCTGGGTTCAAGCGATTCTCCTGCCTCAGCCTCCCGAGTAGCTGGGATTACAAGCGTCCGCCCCCATGCCCGGCTAATTTTTGTATTTTTAGTAGAGACAGGGTTTCACCATGTTGGCCAGGCTGGTCTCGGACTCCTGACCTCAAGGGATCCGCCCAGCTCAGCCTCCTAAAATGCTGGGATTACAGGTGTGAGGCACCGTGACTGGCCTCCCCACTATTATTTCTTTACTTTATGAAAAAAACTTGCCACTTGGTCTGTCGGTGCAGTGTGGTCTTAATGAAAAGGCCAGGTTCAAGTTGTGAGTAAAAAAGAAATAAAAGGCAATATGTTATTCTTTCCCTGTAGCTACAATTTTGTGAGTAATGGGGACCACGGGCATGGGACAGTTTCACCCAGAGGAGCTGTGATCTCCCAAGAGACATCAGCAGTTGTGGTCTTGCCTGGCAGATGGCAGGAGGTCAGACAGGGAAATACAAGACTTTTTTTCTAAGAGTATAAGCGAGCACCTTGGGAGTTTCACAAACAGCCAGGAGAGAAATCAAGTGACTCAGGGGCAGCAATCAAGGCAGTGATCCTGAGCTATCGTAAAGGTGTCAGTTGATGAAAATAGGACCTGATGATATTATCCCAAGCCTAGAAATATGGGTTGCCATAGGTTCTTGATAAAAGTTAGTTTTCTGTCCTCTAGGTAAACAGAGGCTTTTTAAACTTGAAATTATTAGGGAGATTTGAGACCAAGATTGTAGCTAGAATCAGTGACAGGGCAATGTCAGTGAAATATTGGGACATGGGCTATCCAGTTGCTGAAATAATAATAACCTCCTCAGCAGTAGTGTGCTTGCTGTAAGCCAGGTGCTTCACTAAGCACATTTATTATAGTATCTCATTATATAACTACCTGTTAATATTGTCTGTGTTATGCTATGAAAGGAAATCAGAGCATTAAAGAGTGACAAAAATTGTCTAAAGCTACATAGGTAGTAAGTGGTAGACTCAGATTGAAATGTCAATGTGTTGAATTGTGAATGCCATTCTTTTAACCATTATGCCTTTCCAATTCTACTTTACAAACTTGGATGTGCTACCTGGTAACACTGTTAACGCTGGGAAAGCCAAAGGAAAAACAATTATTATTTTTCCTTTGAAAAATTGTTATTTGTCATTCATTAAGATGGGTGCTTTCTCATACTTTACCTCATTTAATTCTCAATACAATGAATAAGAAAATATAAAATGTGTATTTATACCTTTTAAACACACAGAAGCAAAGGATTCTCCAACTCTCACTCTATTGCCACCAAATTTATTTCTTATGGGGATTTCTCTTTCTCTACAATCTTCTGCAAAAGAGAGCATGTTTTGCCATTTTCTCTCCTTTATTTCTTGTTCCTAAATTTAGCTCAATATGAGGGAATAAAAGCCTGGTGTGAAAAACTCTTTTTTCCTAGGTGGCATCTCTCCTCCCTCTCTTTCTTTCTGTCTTTCATTTTCTCAGTTTCAACCTATTAGTAGTAATAATTTTTAAAAAGAGTCATATATACATATTAATCACAGAATTTAACCTAGATGTTTACATAGATTTAAATAAGAACGTTCTACACGTCTTCATTTCTCTATCCTATATTACAGAAGTTTTGGTAGAAATAGTGTGTGTATATTACAGCGTGTATGTATGTGGGTGTGTGTGCATATGTATGTATATCTCTGTCTATTCTATCTGCATGTAATTTTTTTTTTTTTGACAGAGTCTTGCTCTGTCGCCAGGCTTGAGTGTAGTGGCATGATCTCAGCTCACTGCAACCTCCGAATCCCGGGTTTAGGCGATTCTCTTGCCTCAGTCTCCCGAGTGGCTGGGAATACACGCACTACCCCGCCCAGCTAATGTTTGTATATTTAGTGGAGATGGGGTTTCACCATGTTGGCCAGGATGGTCTCGATCTCTCGACCTCATTATCTGCCCACCACGGCCTCCCAAAGTGCTGGGATTACAGGCATGAGCCACTTTGCCTGGCCTGTATGTAATCGTTTATTCATTTTACAGAGATCATTAGAATTTTCTCTCCTGCTTTCTCATGCACTCCATTCCAGGTGACATCCTATACACAAGCCACATATACAGTGAGAAACTGCCTACGCTGAGTTGACCTCAAGTAGGTAGAAGGCTTTACGCAGCTTCAAAAGTCCCTCATTTGCTCTCATCAAAAAAGGATATCTGCAAGGGGACTAGAGACATTTATTCTAACATGTGCATCAGGACTCAAACAACTTCTGAGGTGTCCTCAGGCACCCAGAGGGCTCTATTGTCCCACTTCTCCTTGTTGCCTGTGTTCTCCTTTCAATCTCAGCCTAAAGTTCTTGTGGCTTTGGGACATCACTGTAGCTCCTTGTTGGGTATTCTCTCCCTTTAATTATTTCATGTGATAGATCTTGCTTCTTTTCCCCAAGGAAAGGGATTCAGAGTGGGTCAGTCGAATTTCTTAATCCTCAATCAGACAAAAAAGTAGATCATGAAAAATAATTGATGGGTGTTAGGCTTAATATCTGGGTGATGAAACAATCTGTACAGCAAACTCTCATGATACAAGTTTACCTACATAAACCTGCACTTCTACTCCTGAACTTAAAATAAGAGTTAAAAAATAGATTATGATAAGATTTTCATTAATAAGAAACTGTTTGTTGCATTTCTAACACAGGGGCCTTCAATACCTCAACTTAAAGAATGGAAAGAATAGGCCGGGTGCAGCGGCTCATGCCTGTAATCCCAGCACTTTGGGAGGCCGAAGGGGGAGGATCATGAGGTCAGGAGATCGAGTCCATCCTGGCTAACACAGTGAAACCCCGTCTCTACTAAAAATACAAAAAAAATTAGCTGGGCGTGGTGGCAGGTGCCTGTAGTCCCAGCTACTTGGGAGGCTGAGGCAGGAGAATGGTGTGAACCTGGGAGGCGAGCTTGCAGTGAGCCAAGAGTGCACCACTGCACTCCAGCCTGGGCAACAGAGCGAGACACCATCTCAAAATAAATAAATAAATACATAAATAAACAAAAAAGAATGGAAAGAATATTGGCAAGGTAGATTTTGCCAGAGAGTATCAGTGAGATGCTTTTAAAGAGAAGCAGCTTTAAGCAGCATTGTTTCTTTTCTGATTAGTCAGCTCTTCTGTTTTATTCTAAATTAGCTTTCATTGCTTTTTGTGAAGATCAGGTATTGGTAAGGACTCCTTATTGCATTTTCCTAATCTGAAACTATGATGTTATTATCACTTGTTCCTAAAATACATCTATACCATAAAAAGTTTGGGGCAATTACTTTATTTCTGGCTCAATGTCTCCCAAGATGATCTCAAACACAAAATCATTACTGTTAATATTTATAAAGTCTCTCAAAAAGTATGGATTTTTCTAATTTATAAATTTGTATGCTTCTTGCAGAAAATCCTTAAACCTTTCTTATTTTTTTCTTTTCTTATGTATCAGTGTGAAATCAATTTGAAAGTTATTAAAAGGCTTTACATGGTGCTCTTCACTTGCAAATTGGTGGGACAACATTCATTATGATAAAAATAACAGTAAAATAAGTATGATTTTATTCACAACAATATTATTCTTAATCATATTTAAAAGAATAAAAAGATAATTTACTTATAATTACAACAAAGTTCTTAGCAAACCATGCAGAATAACTTTTTTCATTACTAAAATATCATAGTGTGTGTGTCTGGGTGAGTGTCTCTATGTAATTACCATCTGTGTCGGGGTGTTCATTTCTAGCACTTCAGTAGTCTCTCTTTTGTACTTCTGTCAGTCACCCCAAAAACGTACTGATAGTGTTGGCTAAATGAATAATGCAATAACACTTTTATTCTACTTGCATTTTATGTAATAACTAATAATGTTAAAAAAATGCTTCAGATTTATTTTACACACCAAATAAGCATATTGTATAAACATGTTACATACATGATAGTTATGTTATCTGACAATGTTAGAAACAGGCATTTCTGACACTCTTCAATATTTTTATTTTTATGTAGGAATCATAACAAATGCCTAAGGAACTTAATGTCTACAAAACTATTTCTGCTGTTTAAAAGATACCTAGCAACTGGAATGTTAAATTTGCTCTATTTGTATAAGTAGTTATGCTGTTGTCAGATTGAGATGAGTAACTCCAGGACCTATGAAAACTCTACTTTCTATTCCTATATGACTTCAACAATTCTGCTCTATCTAGTAAGTGATTTATGCACAAAACTCAAGGCAAGTATTTGAATACATCTTACACTTTCATTGGTAATGGCTTTATGTGGACAAAAATGCTATCAATTCTGAATTTTCCTTTCGGAATGCAAAACCTATGAAACATTTCAATAAATATAACACAAGCAGAATCACCCTCTTTACCAATCCTCAAGATTTTGAAATGTTTAACAAACCTGACATTTTTTATTTTTATTTATTTATTTAGTAAAAAAAGCAGATAGGAAAATTCGGCCTATTTTTTGTACTTAGTATGGGTCACTAGAGAGATAGAGAGAGTGAATGGTCTTTCAATAACCTCAAACTACAATGTGTTCAAAAGGGGAAATTGGAGAGGCACGTGAACTTGAATTATGATTATAGAGAAAGTGCCAGAGCACCCAGCTCTGCACCTGGGAGTACAGAATTCTTAAAACGAGGAAATGCTTACTCAGATTCCTCCAAATATGGAACAAACCACTTGGGGAAGCAACACATTTTAACTTTACTGGTTCTTTTCAAAATAAGATCACCAAACTTCTTGAATAGGACACTAATACAACAGACACACAAACAAAACCAAAGACAATGAAGAGACTCTATGTTGATACATGTGTGGCTACTTAGTCATGAGGGTTAGATAACTCAGGAGTCTGTAAAAACTAGACTAGAAAAGACCAGGAGAGGCGTGAGGGTGGGAGATGGCCGGTAGCTTCCTAAGTTCATATGTTGTTTAAGACCAAGGGTAATATAAACACTATCACACAACAAGCTTTACTTTGTTAAAAGAATCAGTGTGAAGCATTCATAGCTTTAACTAAACTTTTGTGTTAACTGTTTTCATTCCCCGCTGCTTACCTCTGGGCTGAGTTCCTCTTTTCATGCCTGCAGATCAGAGCATAATTGGACCTGCTCTTTTTCCCTAAAATATTTTCAAGAACAAAATGGCTTAGCATCCCATAGAGAAAAACATTCCTGATGTTTAATTATACTTCTCAGTAGATGTAGAATTGTGGGATATTAAACCTGTTTACTTTTTGTTTGACAAGAGATATGTCTCTATTATTTTTCTATTATGTTCCCCCTTGGACACTAGTCACAACATTTTTCTTTGCATTCTTTTTCTCTCTGCCTTTTAGATGTTTGCCTTTAGGGGCGCTGACAAAAAACATTTTATTTGGTGGATCTGCATTAGAAATCACTTCTTTTCCTGACAAGCTATTTAAAATGTCACTTGTGCCTTGTGAAGGCTTTTAGAAAAACACAGAGACCTGGACCCAGATGACCCAAACTGTGTTTCTGCAAGGATTGCAATTTCCTTTTGAGGATTATGGTTCCAGGGAAGATTGCTTCTAAATATCTGTGAGAGAAATACTTTCCAGAATTATTGCTGTTGTTTACTCTATATTGATTTTTAGAGTATTTTACCTCACTTCATATAAAGGACAAATAATAAAATATCATTTAATTATTGTAATATTAAATATAACAGTGTAATTATTTCTCAAACACAAGAGATCAAAGTGTATCTCTTCAGGATGTGCTTTTTGACTACTGATTATCAAGTACAATATAGCCAATTTCAGTTGTTTGTTCTACCAATTACACTTCTCTGAAGATCAAAAAGCTGGAGAATAGGAATTAGTGTAGCTCCCCTATACTAATTATCATCCAGTTATGAAATACAAAGCTATAAGAGTGGTGCTTTTGAAGAAAATTGACGTGTGAGTTAAAATATGCATGTTCATTGATCACAAATGGATGAGAAATGTCACCCAGTTATTACACAGAAAAGAGCTGATTGAAAATAGGTGACTTTTACCAAACGTGTGTGAACAATTTCCACTGTTCATTAAAGTACAAGATATCTACATCATCCATAAGGTGGATATGATGTTGGAAATGCATTAAACAGATTTCAGTGGTTACTACCATGATAAGTGTTTTGAATTAATCTAATTGTTACTATACTTTGTGTTCTCTGACATTTCATCAAGGGGACATAGGGAAGCAAAATTCTTTTCAGAATGTCAGGAATTTAATTGCCCAAGTAGAAGGAAGAAGCATTGGCTTATGAATAAATAACTATGTTTTTAATTTGAAGAAGATCACCAACTATTCTTTTTACAAAGGATTTGGGCACATAAGTGCCTGTCACTGGGAATATAGTAGTGAATGACACAGGCATAGAACCTGCCATCAAAGAGTTTGAAGTGTGGCATTATTCAATGAAGTAATGAGTTCTGTGATTGGATTATAAGGGACATAGAGTGTGCTATGGAAACTGATAGAAAAAACATTTGAACTCCACTTGTAGGGGCCAAAAAACACTTGTATGAAATGTATCTTGAGTTCTGAAGGTCAATAGATCTAGTCAGACAAAAAGTCAACTTACTGTGACAGACAGCAAACATGAAATCTCAGACATAGGAACCAAATGATAGCAACCATGGCTGGGTCATAGACTGCTTGAGATTAAGAAAAAGCAGATATGATGCAGCATCCAAACCTCACGTTGAAATGGATGCAGCCATATTCACCATATAAAGATATGGAATCAACCTAAGTTTCCATATCTTAAGATATCTAAGATACAGAATCAATCCATCACAAAATGACTGGATAAAGAAATGTGGTGTATATACAAAATGGAATACTATTCACACATAAACAAGAATTAAATCATGTCTTTTGTGGCAACATGGATAGAACTGGAGGCCATTATCTTACGTGAAATAACTCAGAAACAGACAAATACCGCATGTTCTCACTTATAAGTAGCACTAAATAATGTGTACAAATGAACATAGAGTATGAAATGATACACACTGGAGACTCAGAGCTTGGGGGATGGAAAAGTGTGAGGGAGGATAAATAACTTAATGGGTACAATGTATATTATTTGAGTGATGGATACCCTAAAATGCCAGACTTCACCCTATGCAATATATATTGCATATAACAAAATTGTACTTGTACCCCTTAAATATATACAAAAAAATGGGTGTCCAGTGGGGGTTTTAATTATGTCTTTAAAAAGCAGGGAAACTACAAGAGAAGCCTTAACATGGGGGTAATAGGGCAAGCTTGTATTCAGAGATATCAATTTTCTGTCAGTATATGGCATTATCTTGTGTAGAAAAGGAATACGGTAATGCAGCCATAAGGCAAGTGACAGATGAAGGTGATAAGAACTGTGGGGAAACAACGAGGGAAAGCCAGGGGAGAGAAAGTTAGAAGGCAGGATTGAAAGGACCACATGTTAATTGGATCTGTGGGAAGTGACAAGTGGGAAGGCAAAGATGTTTGCTGGATTCCTAACTTGACACATTGGGTGGATTAGAGTGCCACTTACTGAGATGGTAAAGAGAGAAGACATAGAAAAGGTTTTGAGGCGAGATTAGGGAATGCACTGATATCTCCCTCCCTCTGCCCCTCCCTCCCTCTCTTTTCCTCCCTCCCTCCCTCCCTACTTTCCTTCCTTCCTTCCTTCCTTCCTTCCTTCCTTCCTTCCTTCCTTCCTTCCTTCCTTCCTTCCTTCCTTCTTTCAACATATAGTTACTACCTCTGTGACAGACACTGATCTAGGTGATGAGCCTGCAGCAGTAAACAAAGCAAGGTTCTCATCTTCACAGAGCTTACAGTCCCATTGGAGCAACCATCAGCAGGTAAGACAGTAAATCTGAGATGAACAATAAGGAGAAAGAGATAGGGTGGGTGATATTTTAGGTAGAATGGTAAGGGAAAACTGAAAAATTAGTTTCAGCTAATATTAGCGACAACAAGCTCTGCACAAAAGGGTCAGAGATTTTGCCAGAGTTAACCCTTAGTGTTCTATCTCTGAAATAAAAAGCTCAGAAGTTCTCCTTCTAAGAATGTCAATGGTGTTAAATTTAAATAGCTCAGTTTGACTTTGATTATCCAGCAAGAGTAGAGGCAAAAAAGTGGCCTTTTCTGTTAGGTCGCAGTCAGGAGGTGGGAGGATGTGAACACTTCTCCACGTCAGTACTAGCAGATATGGCCATCCATATTCTTCACTTTTCCTGAACTCTGAAACTGAAATACATTCATTCATCTAATCCTGCAATACAGAACCCCTGAAAATCACCTATGGATTTCTAACTTTGCCAAATTTATGCTCATTCAACTTTATTTGGTTCAAAGCTCTACACGTGAACTTTCATATATTCTTGGCACAGCATTTAGGTAAGTGACTTTCTCTCCCTTCAACTCCACTAAAACTTATTTTCTCCTATAGTATACATATTTTTGTTTTTCATGTGCCTTTTTAAATTTTTTAAAATTTATTTTTTAATTGACACATAATAATTGTGCATAATTATGGGAAACAGTGTGATGTTTCAACATAGGTATACGATGTGTAATAATCAAGTTAGGGCAATTAGCATATCCATCATTTCAGAAATTTATCATTTGTTTGTGGTGAGAGCATTCAAAATTTTCTCTTGTAGCTATTTTGAAATATATGTTATATTAACTATAGTCACCATGCTGTGCAATGGAATACTAAAACTTATTTCTCCTATCTAACTGTAACTTTGACCAATTTGTTTCTATACATCTTTTTCCCTCCCCCCGCCACAGCCTCTGCTAACCTCTAATCTACTCTCTACTTCTATGAGATCATCTTTTTCAGATACCGCATATGAGTGCAATCATGAGGTATTTGTCATTCTGTGCCTGGCTTATTTCACTTAACATACTGTCCTCCAGGCTCATCCAAGTTGCTACAAATTACAGAATCTCATTCTATTTTATGGCTGAATAGTATTCTACTGTGTATATATACCACACTTTCCTTGTCCACTCATCTGCTGATGGACACTTAGGTTGATGCCATATCTTGGCTGTTGTACATAGTGCTGCAATAAATGTGGGAGTGCAGACATCTCTTTGACATACTGATGTTATTTCCTTTGGATACAGACCCAGCAATGGCATTTTGGGATCATATGGTAGTTCTATTTTTAATATTTTGAGAAACCTTCCTACTCTTGCCTATAATGACTGTACGAGTTTACATTCTCACCAACAGCAATATGAATTCCCTTTTCTCCACATCCTTGCCAGCACTTGTTACTTTTTGCTTTTTTGATAATAGCCATTCTAACTGAGGTGAGATGATATCTCACTGTGTTTGTAATTTACATTTCCCTGAAGATTAGTGATGTTGAGCATTTTTTCATGTGCCTGTTGGCCATTGTATGTCCCCCTTTTGAGAAATTCTATTCGGATTGTGGGATAAGAACTCAAACACACAGATTTAGAAGCAAAAATAGATAAATGGGATTACATCAAAATAAAAAGCTTCTTCATAGCAAAGGAAACAATCCACAGCGCAAAGAGACAACTGACAGAATGGGAGAACATATCTATAAACTATGCATCTGACAAGGGGTTAATATCCAGAATCTATAAGGAACTCAAACAACTCAATGAAATAGAAACATAGAATTCACGTGTTTTTGTTTTGTTTTGTTTTGTTTTTTGTTTTTTGAGACGGAGTCTCCCTCTGTCGCCCAGGCTGGCGTGCAGTGGCGCGATCTCAGCTCACTGCAAGCTCCGCCTCACGGGTTCACGCCGTTCTCCCGCCTCAGCCTTTGCAAGCTCCACCTCACGGGTTCACGCCATTCTCCTGCCTTAGCCTCCCGAGTAGCTGGGACTACAGGCACCCGTCACCACGCTCGGCTAGTTTTTTGTATTTTTAGTAGAGACGGGGGTTTCACTGTGTTAGCCAGGATGGTCTTGATCTCCTGACCTCATGATCCACCCGCCTCGGCCTCCCGAAGTGCTGGGATTACAGGCGTGAGCCACCGCGCCCAGCCCAATTCACGTGTATTTTTTTAAGTAGCTAATAACATGTAT
Organism: Homo sapiens; assembly: GCF_000001405.40. NCBI lineage: Eukaryota > Metazoa > Chordata > Mammalia > Primates > Hominidae > Homo > Homo sapiens. Next base: position 1,924,792 of record NW_025791777.1, read on the forward strand.
TTCTATTTGAAGTAGTAAAAAATAAAATGTAAAATTCAGACTAGAGCAGCAATAAATCTAGCTTGCCCTTCTGAAAATTCTTTAATGAGTTCTCATTATTCCTGGGTTAAAGTTCGCACCTCTTACACAGGCATCAATGAAGCTGCTCTTTTTTACATATTCACCACTCCATTGTCATGTTCTATCAAACTAATGTGGTGCTGGAGGGTGTCAGGAATGCACCCAACATATCTCTGTGCTTTTAGCACATAGTGTGATTTCCATTAGGAGCTAATGGTCTCTCTTTTCCTGTCTGTCTAAATTCAAGCTATTCTTTAATTTACAGATAAGGGAATTCCTCTTGGCCTCTCTGTTTAAGTCAGGAGCTATTTTTTGTGCATTGACAGCAGTCTGTACATATGTTCCATGATGGCAGACCACAAGCATTGTGACTACTCGTTCTTTAGTTCCCCTCTCCCACCATCAGGCTGAGCATATTATGCATAGGAACTAGGCCTTGTCAACATGTATCCCTAGCACCTAGCACAGCACCTAACACTTAAGAGGTACACAATAGTTACTGAGTAAATTCAATGGATGAATGTCAATGAACAAATATGGTTGAATCTTACACATTAAGATTTTATAATGTGTTAAAACGTTAACAACAAAAGCAAAAGCAATTGCCTCAATTCTAATACAACAGCCACAGAAATTAATTTGGAATATTCACTCAATCTTGGTCAACAATATTTTCTGAGGATAAACTCTGTAACAGACACTATCTTAGGTACTGAGTTGCAGCTTTGAATAAAAGAAACAAAAAGCCTGCCTTCATAGAGCTCACATTCTAATAATGGGGAGTGGGGAGAAAAACAATAATCAAATAAATTTAAAAGAATACGGTTGATAAGATTTTAAACATTACAGAAGAAAATAATAGAGAAGAGTAATAGGAAATTATGGGGGCAGGTTTGTAATTTTTAATTTATATTACCATAATGATGGTAATATAAATTATCCAAAATTTATATCTATATTAATGAAATATATTTCCCTCTATTGTTTATAGATTTTGGCAATAAGAAAGAAATATGGCAGTTGAGATTAGAAAGGGAGAAAAGTTTAAATAAAGAAGAGAGATGAAATCAATATCCTTGTAATTCAGTTTTGGGAGAGAAGAAAGTTGAACTGACAAAGAAGAAAGTCTTAAGGCTACATTGCTAGAATACAGAGAACTGAGATGTTACCAGAGAAGTCAGCATTTTCTGATAAGTTTTGAACTTCAGTATGGAGTTATCTTGGGCAATGCTATAGCCAAAAACTTCTAGATATTGGGAAGGGAGACTGGAGAAGCAATGAACACCCTGTCCCTCTTAATTGCAAGGAATTAAATATGTCAGCGATACTTACCTAAATATTTTGCTTTCTAAGACATCCAACTATTCTATGTCCAAAATAGTTATGTAGAAATCAACAATAGATTAAATATACACACAAAATTTTATATTATATATTAAATATAATATACATATTTCTCAATTTTGACCTGGTTCAGAATTTTTCATCACCTTCCTGAGATGGGAAAAGCTTCTCAAGAAGGTTGATCAACATCTGATTCAGGTGAGCTAGGCAGTGAGTCTCATCCTGTGAAACGTCCTCCAGTAGACACTCGTCCACCCATGGCAGCCATGGGGCAGAGTAGGGGGCAGTGGTGATATGAGAGCAGCATTTCTCATCACCAGTAGCATCAACCTCTCTGGCAGGTTGTTAGAAATGCAGAATCTTGAGGCACACTCTAAAACCTCTAAAAAAGATCCCCAGGTAACTTGCGTGCCTGTTCTTAAGGTTTGAGAGTTGCTGGTCGACAGCAGCAGTGTCCAACTGGGGCTACATAATAGAGTTACCTGGGAAATTTTTTTTTTAAATCCCAATAATTAGGCCACATTCTTATATATTCTGTTTTTGTCAGAATCAACTGTATATGTCTCAAACTGTGGTTCCTGGTTTCTTTTCTACAACTGAAAGAAATCTACCAAAGTTTTGACCTACTAAACCCACTAAGGTTTGACTTGTGAAATCAGCACTCCAGGAATGAGACCCAGGAATCTGCTTCTTTATTTAAGTCACATAGCAGTTGATTCCTATATGTACCAAAATATAAGGTGTGGCTTGGAGGATGAAAAATAATGGATTCCACTGTAAAAAAAAAAAAAAAAAGAGTTTCTCTATGTTTATTATTTGAATCAATATGCAAAGTATGCAGTGGAATACTTTTGCATATATACACTGGTAGTTGATAACTTTGTCAAAATTTATAATTAGAGGTTTTAAATACCATAGAAAAATATGGATGAATTAGTGAGTGTGAGGAAATAAAAATACTGAGTCTCTCCAGAGACAGACATTTAGATAGTTATCTTCAAGACATTTAAAAATATTCTACCACGGTCCGGCGTGTTGGCTCACACCTGTAATCCCAGCACTTTGGGAGGCGGAGGTGGATGGATCACGAGGTCAGGAGATCCAGACCATCCTGGCTAACACGGTGAAACCCTGTCTCTACTAAAAATACAAAAAAAAAAAAAAAAATTAGCCGGTCATGGTTGCAGGCGCCTGTAGTCCCAGCTACGCGGGAGGCTGAGGCAGGAGAATGGCGTGAACCCGGGAGGCGGAGCTTGCAGTGAGCGGAGATCGCGCCACTGCACTCCAGCCTGGGCGACAGAGCGAGACTCCGTCTCAAAAAAAAAAAAAAAAAAAAGACTGCCTCAAAAAAAAAAAAAGAAAAAGAAAAAAAATTCTACCAAATATTCATTATGCTGATAATAAAAAAATCATGCAAGATGAATGTTTCTCTTCTAAAGAAGCAGTCAGCAAACTTTTTCTGTGAAAGACAAAATGGCCAATATTTTTAGCTTTTCAGGCTCTACAATCTTTTTCTGCTCTACTATTCAACTCTGGCTTTGTGGCTTGCAATCAGCCATTGACAAGATGGAAATGAATAGCTGTGGCTGTATTCCAACCAAACTCTATTTACAAAAACAAATCATGGGCTATTTTTCTGGCCCCTGTAATACCAAGTTAGATTGTTGACTACCAGTGGTCAAATGGAACTTCTTTTTCAAGACTTGTTCAATTCCTTTCAATGTACGTAAGAAAGAGTCAAAGAATTCAGTTGCTAATTTAGTCCTCATGACAAATAGGATGGTTTCTCTAAAATGGCTCCTAAGTTACATTCTTTTAAGAAACATCCACTTCATCTGTGTAAATCCAACAGGACCCCCAAAAAAGAGTATGCCCCAAAATTCAAAATGTACTTATATAAACACAGTGTTATGAAATTGTTCCTGGAAGTTTTGCAAGATCCACGTGTTCATTGTTGCTTAGGAGAGAAAAGATCTCTAATTTTTGCTACTTTACAGGTAAGGTGACAGCTAATAATAAGGTTCTCTATTTATAATAACAACTATCATTTTCTGAGGACCTGAGCAATTGTGGATATATCAATTCCCTCCTTTATTTCTCAGAACACTACAATAGGATAGGTACTGTGATTGGCTCAATTTTAAATAACATAAAAACAAAGTTTAGACACCTTAACTGACTTGTCCAAGGCCACAGAGCTAGAAAATGCCCTCAGCTGGATTTGAACCAGGTAGTTGAACCTAGAACACGTACAGCCACTAAACATTACTGCCCTATCCATTGTCTACCAGAACTATGAACATGTAAGATACTGAGTTAGTTGTAATATTTTCATTTGTAAGGGAAATAGATGTGCTCAATTTGAATGGATTAACAGGACTAAAACTACAGAGAAAAATGTGAATGTGAAAAATGGGGAAGTCTCACCACTGCATGGTATGCCTGGAATACGATACGGGATATCAACCCAGGATAACACAGTACTTCCTCTGAGAAGCACTCTTTTCTTCTTGCGCTTAGCTATTAGGGTAAGTTAGAAAATGTGTCTGTTCTTACTGACCTAATGCAATTAACCTCTTTTCTTTCTTTTCTACTGGCCTCATTACTGCAGCTTATTCATGATTTCCACAGACTGTCCTTTCTATGTTTCTCAACTTCTTTTCCTGGCCACTAACTGCTGAGGCTCCACATGGTATTTCAAATTTAAGATAACCAAGTCAAATATTTGTTATTTCACACAGAACATTTTTATTGGCATGGTTCTCCTGGAAGGCCACATGGTGGCCATTGGCCAGTCTAGAGAGGGCTCTCTTAGACCTTGGCACATTCATTTCTCATCAAATCTACTGCGGCCAGTAGAGCCTAGACACATGGTCATATTTTCTTAGTGGAAACACCTATGCATTGTGAACTGTTACCATTACAAGCTCTTCTACAATATTGTTCTTTATAGATAATATTCATTCTTTTGGAATAGTAATACAGGAGGTAATGTGTACATATACTTTGTTTTTTCTGTTATTCTTATACACAATTAGGATAAGCCAACCATTTTCCAACAACCTAGAGAATTGAAAGTACGCTGGTTGGTTGTTGGAGATTATACACATATATGCCTTGAACATATTTCTAGTCATTGTGGAACCTGTTATTTACAGTATCTGGTACAACGTCATCTCTTTCCAGATTTGGGAACATGTTGGAACACAATAAATTATCATATTTTATAACCATACAACCTAACTTCTAGTTACCATCTTAGCACATCATTGGATATGACAGCTAATCATATTAAATTTTCCAGGTCACCTCTAATCTTATAACATCCCTCCCTTCTTGTCACAGGATTAGATCAAATATTAATTGAAAAATATTACCACAATATCAACATGATTAGCTACACCAAACCTCTGTGGACATATGGGAAAGTTTATGTAAAGTCAGCATAGCAAATAGGCTGCTGAATATGTAAGTCTGTTTTTTCTGAAGTCCACTTCCAACATTCAATTCCAACAGTTAGTTTCTCTACCTTTTCTAATATTGTGAATATCTTTCACTATTAACCTGAGTTCCCTTAACTTCCTTTTAATCGCATTTCAATACAATTAACACTGAATTTATATCTCTACATTTTATTTTATTTTATCCTGAGAGTGTGTCAACCTCTCTTGGAAAGATGTATATGTTACAAATACTAAATTTCAGTAGAGACTTTGCTTACAGTAGAGTGCTTTTTCTGTCAGTAGTAATCAGAATTAGCTGGAAGCAAAGACTTGCACACTAACCTCTTTCAGAAACTAAAAGAACAAAGTACATGCTGGTTTCCAATACTGGTGGTGATGGAATTTACAAAATCATTTATTTTGTGTAAACAAGAGTTAACCTGTTCTAAAGGTAATATGATTACTCTGTACTATCTTAAAAATAGTCTTACAATATTCATGAGTATCATGTCAAGTGCTGGAAACAGTCACCATATATGAGGTAACAAAAAGGTATGGTATAGAGTGTATGAGTTTTAAACACAGCCAGATCTGAATTTTAGTTATAGGTTCATTACTGTGTGCCCTTGGCCCAGTTACATATGCTCTCTCAGATTCCAGCTTTCCTTCTGGAAAATGAGGGCAAATAACATCCATGTTAACATTTCAACTTTCATATGTTTTTATATTTATCATTTATTCATATATAAAAAGTTTATAACTCAGCTATCTGAGTTGAGGAAGCATGTGAGCTAGATTAGATACTGCCTATCTCTAGTGTCTTTTATTGAACATATTACTTATTGAGAAGCAAGTTATAGAAGAACTTGAAGCAAGTTTTGTAAAGTTTTAAAAGATTATTTTATTTAAATTTTGAGACTTCCTACTCTAAGTGAGGTTATCCTATGAGATGTTTTCCCATCTTACAGAAGAAATAAACTACCCTCAATCAAATGAAAAATGGAATTCAGTATAGATTAAGGAGGCAGATGCTAAGTAAAATAAACTGTTACTAATTCTCAGTTGAACCCAAGATTTTCTTCATCCTCTTATCAGTATATTGCAAATTCAGACAACTATGACAATGGTAAGACTCCTTTAAGCAATTGCATTTTTAATTTTTTAAATTAAATTTGTATTTTAAGTTCAGGGGTACATATGGTGGTTTGTTATATAAGTAAACATGTGTATTGGGGATTTGTTGTTTTTTGAATGAGAACTACAATTCCCTCAATTTTTAAACATAGATATTTCATTAGACAGTAAACACAACCTTCAATGGACGTACTCTGGTCAGACACTTCAGTGGTCAATACATCCAACAAAAAAGTTCATTGGGTCTGATGCCACCATCAATTCTGAAGTTGGCACAAGGATAGAGATGTTTTCAGCGACATGCAAGTTCGCTAGTAGCAAGTGTGTGTCCCTGTTTGGTTAATGTTGCCTCTTTCTGTTTATCAAGTTTGCTTAAAAAAAAAAAAAAAAAAAGAAGCCAAAGACCCAGGGACAATCACTGTAGTCAACACATTCTTCTCTCAATTATCTTTAATTCTATTGAGAAATCATCTCCCCAGGGAAAAGAGATAGACGTCTCAGAACAAGAGAAGTAGATAAAAGTCTTCAGGCTTTAGCTACAAACATACTGGTAGCCAAGTACACATCAGCCTTTGGGAACCTTGAAAATAGTTTACTCCTCTGGAAGAAGCAGTAACATCGACATCAGCCTGAAAAGCTCTCCAGAGAATTTCAGAATGATAGCCAATTATTAGAAAGTGTTCTGACATCTTTATAAAATGTCCCATCTCAAGAGATCCATAGAAGAAAAGGGAAGTCAGCACTTCAGGAAATACGAGTGCTCACTCTGAAAAGCACACTTGAGATACCATTATAAATCTTTATACAAAAGCAGCTAGATATTTACATTTTGCTTTAACAATAGAAATTAATTGTTAAAAATCAACCTGTTTCAGTATTATATGTGATATTTTAAATAATGTTTATTTCATTATTTGAAAACTTTTATGTCATACAGTATCAAGGTAAGTGATTGCTATTCTTCAGTATTTAGAGTGCAGACTAATAGATCACATAATTATAGTGATATAATTATTTAATTACTCTTAATTACATAAAAATTTATCATAATATGGAGTAAAACCATCAGGCATGTATGCGCTTAGTAAGGTAGAAAAGAAAAAGTTCAGGTAATTAAACTTTGGAAAAAAGTTGCTTACAATACCTTTCTAGATATTTTTAACAAGCTTACAAGAAAATGGGTAAAAAAGAATTAATATGGAATGGTTTAATCTGAATTACCTGGATAATTGCCCTAAATGATATAGGAAATGTAAGCTTCACTTCGATTCATTATATCTTAATAATAAAAATGAAATAAAACATAAAAAAGATTTTTTTACAAACACATAATCTCTTATTGAAGAATTCTTTCAAAAACAAGCATTTTAGAAAGCACTTAATTTTCCTTTGCTTTCTTTTTTTATTCATGTCATAAAAGAAATCCACTTCTGTTGAATAAGGACTATAAATTATATGAATGGTATAATAAGTCTTCTAGTTTCATTTTTCTTAATACTTGCATCAGAAACTATAACATTTAAGTTTTAAGTTCCAAATGGATACTATTAAAATATTCAGGGATTTAGTCCTAAATCCTTAAACCAAAAGGGAGCTCAGGAATATTGCTAAAGTAGAAAGCTGCACAAAATCTCAACTCGCATTTGCAAATTTTCTTTCCATCTGATTTAACTTTGAAGCTTTCAGACTCAGATTTTACTATATGACATCAACAAATCACTTCAATCAAAATCAATTTACCTTGGCAATGCACAACCCTCCAGATAGATTATTAAAAAGGTAAAATGAGAAATTAACTATCTTTTCATGTTCCCTTTTATTTTCTCTGGATACAAGGCAGAATGAATGTATTTCAAAAGAAATTGCCCTGAGATATCATTATCTCCAACGCCGTTTTTACTCCAGGAAACTTGCTTATAAATTAAGCTTTTCCTGACACAGTCACTTGCTGCAGTGCAGAATGTCAGTTTAGTCAGTTAGAACTTTCAATGCAGAAATTCAGTGCCATGCAGTCACCCGGATAAAGCAGCACTTACCTTAATTGAAATTTTCTCTGTGAACGAGGTGAGAAATCCGTCAAATCAACCGTGATGGGGTGGGGAGATCGAAGTTTTCAATCAACACCCTCTAAGTAGCTGCATCCTGTGCTCCTTTTCCCTGTTATGTTGAGCTCCTCACTGTCTAAGGAGAGAAAAACATCAGCTGAAATCCTCCGAGGTTCCCAGTGAGTAAATGAGGACTAAGCGATGTTTCTGAACGGGAGATTCTCCGTGAGCGTGCTCCGTTTGGAGGCTCCCTAACACTCTTGGCAGGTCCCTGGAGCCAGGCGCTAATCATTGACCTGATTAGCAAGAACGCTCCGGGTGCGCAGGCAACACACGCCGAGGGTTGGTGGGTCTCCCGGGAACTGGAAAAGGCACCAAGGCCACTTGGGAATCTTGTCTTTTCCAGCCTAATGGATGAACTACAACTATGATTATAATTTGCAAGGAGATTAGCTGCCGTGCTAGCCATCGCAGGACTTAAACAAATGTGCTTTCTCCTGCTGTTTTTCAAGGTGCCTTCGTGTAAGATATTAGGTACAGTGAAACAATTAATAGACTGATAGAGCTGACTTGTAAGACAAGCTTAAAGCTGAAAAATGTTTAAAGCGATGTGATCAAAGAGATAGCTGCACTTGTCCCTGACGCTCGCCTGCTACATACTTCAACCTTTGTCGAAGTAAAATGAATTTAAAGGTTTATTACAGCCCTCCAGAGTGCAACTCTCTGAATTTATAAAAAGGAAGTATTCATACTAAATAAGCATATTTGGCAGATTGCTACAGACACAAGCACTCAAACCACGGCATGAACACAGCCTTGCTTGTGTAGTTTTCCAAACGGCATTTTCAATTAGCATTAAACTTGCAAAAAATGTTTGCATTGTACCATTAACCAGAGTAACGTAGGAGAATACAGCACTACACCTAACCGAATCATCTCTTTGATTATCTGTTGAAACACTGATTTACTAAAACAAAAACAAACAAGCATATGAGAGGATCGAAAATATCTAACAACTTTTTAAACGTAGTTATGTGCCGTTACCAACCTGCTGGTCCCCATCCGTCATCCGCTCTTTCTGCCACTGATCACCTTCTCAGCACTTCCTCATCAAGTTCCTAGTTCCCTGAAGAGATCTAACTCTCTGGAAAAGGTCACATAACTGAATGCCAAAGCCCCAAATGGTTAATTTTTGACAGCTCTCACTTTTGCAGGAGAAAATTATGCAAATAACATAAAAAGAACAGATGAAAAAAGTAATTTGCATGTCTTGAGGGTGAGAAAATTCTCATTGCCAGAGAGAAAGCTGACGACTGTCCTCTCACAATGATCCTGAGTGATATGTTCAGCACTTTTGTTTTTTTCCAGTGGGCCTCACTTGGGACATATGGCATTTCCTTGATGTGTGTGTGCGTGTGTGGGTGGGTGCGTGTGCTTGCGTGTGTGTGTGAGAAAGAGAGAGAGGAAGAGCGAGAAGCTATATTTACATTGTGATATTTATATATATCTTAGAAAACCCTCAAATTTCAGTAGGCGAATGCACTAAGTATAAATAATAGAGAATCCGTTTGCCTTATACATTCCCAAATATATTTTTAAAGTATCTCATTAAAATACAAGCTCTTGGTGAAACTTTTTGGACAAAGTAAAACTTCAGGGTAACTGAATTGCTGTTACTAAGGCAGGTACTCATCCTACTCTGAAAACGGAGACGGCCCTGCAGGAGACCCAGGAGGTGGGGCTGTAGCCTCCCATGCAGAGGTCTCTTGCTCCCTCAGCTGGTGGAGGGTGACAGCCGAATGTGAAGAAACCCAGTCAACCACTTCAGGAGAGGGAGAACAATTTTTGCTGCTGTAAAGCAGGAAACCCATTGTCCAATTTTAGATTGGCATGAGAGTGTTATAGTAGAAAAGAGGCTGCTTACATCGAAGTAAATGCACCTTGAGCATAAATTGTAAAAATAAGAAAATGTAACTGCTAATTTCTCCTGAGAGGGTTCCAACTAGTCTTTAACACAATACTTGTAAATAACAGTGGGATAGATTCCAGGGCTCTAATGTGTAGTTGGTCATGCAATTAAAGCACTCCGTTTCTCATATTGGTCTAAGTCCCATTCTGAGGATCTTAAATTGTGAACTATTTTTAAAACTTATTAAAACATTAAGACACGGCTTATTTTCCTGAACCCTGCCAGCCAACCTGCAATCATCATCACCAACTAAAACAGGTGCACACGAAACTCTGTGCCATAGTAGATGGGTTCTATCTGGAAACTCCAACTCCATGAGACTGCCCTGATGACATTTCCAAATAATCAGCCTTTCTGTTCTCATAAAATCCAGAGGTCTTTCAAAACCCTGAATGGTTTCTACAGAGAGTATGATGACTCTTCAGTAGTTTTTTTAACCTATGTTGGAACACTAATTGATTTTATGTGAAACTACACACATGAAGAACAAAGCAAAATAAGACCATTTTGTTGGAGGAGTGAGGGGAGACCGTAGTCACATGAAAATAACAGGTACTGTCTATTACATGCTTGCTGTGTAGTAAGTGACTGGCATGCACTTCAGCTATAGCTATCCATGAACCCCTTAGTCCAATTCTATTAAGCAGACATTATAATATTTTATTTTTTTAATTAATTAAGTTAGGGCTCTGAGAAGTTAAGCAAATTTGCCAATGTTGCATAGTCAGTACAGAAGAAACCCACCACTAAAAGTCAGGTTACTGTAACTATAAAATTAACAAATATTTGGAAGTTCCCAAATGTTAAAACTGATCAAAATCCCTACTTCCAACAGAATGGGAACATTTTCTAGATTTTATGATTAACAAAAATCATTTTCACATCTTTAAAAACCATTTTATAACTGATAAACTATTGTAACAGTTCTGCTATTAAAAGTTATGTATGATTTAGCAGAAAAAAATTCACAAAAAAAACTTTAGGCTAAAAAATAGATTCCATCCAGAGCTTCCAAATATATAATTCCATTAGCACAAATTACTCAATTTCAAATTTTTAAAAATCCCTTCTGCAATTCATTTGCTCTCCCACTCAAATATAATAATTATTGCTTTTTTAAAACAAGAAAATAGCTCCACTCTAAGTAAATGAATATCTCAAGAACAGTCATAAAAATATATTAGGCCAAAATTATGATGATTTTTACTCTCCTAGTTCTCCAAGTGGCATAATGTAACAGCAAAGCTCAAATGTACTAGGGAGCTAAAGTTTATCTCTGATTTGTTCATGCTTTATCTACAGGTTTCTTAAAAGTCACATGAATCCTATCATTTCATATGGCTCTTTGAAATTCTCAGACACATCCATAACTTTACACAGAAGCATTGTGACCACACTCTTTCAAGATGTTTAATAAAATAAATGATGATAATGCAAACTAATGCAACATTTAAACTTTGCCAAGAACTTATTCTCTCATTTGATTCTTACGGGAATCCTGTGAAATAGGTTACCATAAGTATTTTTCTCATATGTTAGTGATGAGGAATAAAAAGAGCAAGTGATTGTCCTTTGGTGTTCGATAGTGGAAAACCTAATGTCTTCCTTTTTACATAAGTCCTATTGCTCCCCACTATGTCAAATAAATATGTTTATCTGAGTCATCTTTTTGTCAAAAAGGATCTTAAGTGGCTATATAAACAGAAGCCAGTCTTTCTTCATTTACTTAGGTTTGTTCCAAACAGTGTAAATTGTGATTATGATTTATTGAAGAAAAAATTACTCTGAGCTGACAGGGAACTTGTGATTTATGTATACTGGAATAACAACCCTTAGATTTCCTACAGACTTTTCCTGATCTTGGCTATTATTATTTAAATTGGGGATATATGAAGATATTTCCCAAATATTAGTCTTATGATTCTTACACAAATAGAATCTTGCTTCTGTATACCAATGTAGATTCAGCTATTACCTCCCTACCACTGTTTGTGGTGGTTTATCTGAACAGACCTTGAAAAATTACCGTTAATTATTTTAAATGGATCTATAAATACATATACATAAACAAGCCACCTAACTAATAACAAATTGATCTTGCAGCAGCAGCATCAAGCTAATACTATCACACAGAGGTTTGCTGAATGCTAACAGATTCTCATGTATTATACATATTTCTGCTTATGTCTAAATCATGGAGGCTGAATGACTAAACTCACCAGCCTTCAAGAGAAATTTTTATTTTTGATTCCGGTTTCACGCACATATACTCATGAGTTTAAGATAAGATGAAATTTTAGATAAAAAAGAAAGCTAAACTGGATATCAGAAAACTTAGACTATAGTCAAAATTCTAGCAGTGAGTAGTTTTCTAACCCGAAGCCATTTAAAAAGCTTCTATTTAATAATTTCATTGGAAAATTTGAGGAAATTAAACTATATTATCTCTAGGATTTCAGTCAGTTATGAAAATACATCTATTTGACTAATAATTTGTGATGTTCTTTCTACCTAATTCAGAAATAATCAAGCAATTAAGAAGGAATTATTGTCTGCAAATACATGTTTTCTCCCTTCTCACACCCTTCGGTGCCCCAAACAACTTACTTTATACTATAAATAACATTATAGCAAGGATGTGTTGATTTCATAGTTCGAGTAATTAAAAAATCAGCCAGAAATTATTGATTTGAAATTGTAAATGGAGTAGATAAAAAAACTGCTAAGGTCAAGAATATTCTTTAAATGTTTTAAAATAATTATAACACGTTTCTTATAACGAGAACCGAAGCCCGTGGAGACTTGGCGGCGCCGGGAGCCCTGCTGCTACACACGCCTGGGAGAGCCCAGCGAGAGCCCAGAAAGCGGGTTCTGTTCTGCCGGAGGGATAGGCGTGTGTGGATTTTCCCCACTGTGCGCCAGGCACAGGGGCTCCACCAGCTCCCCACTTTTTTTTTAATAGGAAATCACAATAAACACTACAATATCTTACTTTTTGGCAAAGCACATTAGCTTTCATTCATCCCCTTGCGGAGGCGGAGAGGGGCGGATGGAGACTGAACAGATTGAGGGTAACTGCAAAAGGCACTGTCCTTTACATATTTTCCTTCCTTATTCTAAACACAACTCTGCAAGTTAGGCTTCATTGTTTTCATTTTGCATAAGAGACAGACTTAACTGCGTAGGAATTGATATGAGAATAAAATTTAAGACGGACTCTAAAGCATATTTATTTTCCAGTTTATTCCAGTGCCCTTGTCACGATCCACAGTGCTTCAGGAGTTTTAGGCTACTGACTGTGCTTAGGTTGTTTGGTGGGGAGAGAATGGCAGGGAGTGCAGTCTTAACCACAATTCAGAATAGCCCAGAATAACCTCGGAACCTAGTAAAAGCTGTGGACCATCTGCCATTGGTAGAAACACGTGTAGAGATGCTTCTGTGGCTCATGTAGCGTATAATTACTTCATCTCTTTCATTGTTATACACACACACACACACACACACACACACACACACACACACAAAAGAATAAAAACAAAAAGAGGCCGGGCGCGGTGGCTCACGCCTGTAATCCCAGCACTTTGGGAGACCGAGGCGGGTGGATCACGAGGTCAGGAGATCGAGACCATCCTTGCTAACACGGTGAAACCCTGCCTCTGCTAAAAAAAAAAAAATACAAAAATACAAAAAATTAGCTGGGCGTGGTGGCCGGCGCCTGTAGTCCCAGCTGCTGGGGAGGATGAGTGAGGCAGGAGAATGGTGTGAACCCGGGAGGCGGAGCTTGCAGTGAACCGAGATCGCGCCACTGCACTCCAGCCTGGGCGACAGAGTGAGACTCTATCTCAAAAAAAATAAATAAATAAAAATAAAAACAAAACGATAACATTGTTACAAACTGAGATGATTTGGATACCCCACATTGCCCTATATTTTAAAAACTTTTATTTTGGAAGATCTGAAATTTATACAGTACAAAAGCATTAGTAACAAGGATAACGAATCCTCAAGGAGATGCGACCAAACTTCAATTATTACCTCATAAAATCGTCTATTTTAGAGAAGGTGGAGAAAGTGAAGACTGAGGAGCTCTGGAGATGAACTGTCTCGGTTGAAAGTCCATCTCTACTAATTAGTAGCTGTGTCAACTTGGACAGTATTTCATTATGTTAAAGCGTTCTTACCTGTAAAATGGGGAGGTATGTACCTTCTTCATTAACTGAATTAACGTATGTGAAGTACTAGGTCCCCAGCATATGGTAGAACTCAATATGTTAGCTCTTACTGTCATTATTCTTTCAAATTCAGAGAGCCTCGCACACATCACTATCCTATCCCCACACCCCACCTCTCTTCCTTAATACTGCTAGCCTCTGCTTCCACTTAGTGAAGTAACTTGAAGGGAAAAGATTGACTTTCTGGCACCGTGTTTTGTTTTGGAGACAGTATCTAACTCTGTTGCCCAGACTGGAGTACACTGGCGCAATCTCCGCACACTGCAGCCTCAGCCTCCCAGGTTCAAGCGATTCTTGTGCCTCAGTCTCCCAGTAGCTGGGATTACAGGCGGCTGCCACCCTGCCCCGGCTAATTTTTGTATTTTTCGTAGAGACGGTTTTTTGCCTTGTTGGCCTGGCTGATCTTGAACTCCTGGCCTCGTGTGATCTGTCTGCCTCGGCCTCCCAAAGTGCTGGGATTTCAAGCATGAGATTTCAACCATTCCAACCTCTGGCACAGTTCTTTATAGAGATAAGGTCATCTAAAGAGGGAATGGGGTGGGATTGGAAGGTAAGTGGTAGAGTTTTTTTGTTTGTTTTGTTTTGTTTTTTAGACGGAGTCTCCCTATGTCGTCCAGGCTGGAGTGCAGTGGTGCGATCTCAGCTCACTGCAAGCTCTGCCTCCTGGGTTCACGCCATTCTCCTGCCTCAGCCTCCCAAGTAGCTGGGACTACAGGTACCCGCCACCACGCCCAGCTAGTTTTTTGTATTTTTTTTCGTAGAGATGAGGTTTCACCGTGTTAGCCAGGATGGTCTCGATCTCCTGACTTCATGATCCGCCTGTCCCGGCCTCCCAAAGTGCTGGGATTACTGGCGCAAGCCACCGCGCCCGGCCGGTGAGTAGTAGAGTTGTTTTTGTACGTGCTCTCAATTTAATCTAATTGAACATTTTTCTTTGCAGCTGAAATTTTGCAGTTCTTAAGTTGTAGGGCTACACATGATATACCCCATGTACACAAAATGTGTTGTGTGTGTCTCTCAGAGAAAAGTAGAGATTTAAAAAATTCGTATGATGCCACTAAGAATTTACTCCACAAACTTGTGTAACAAATGTCTTATGACTTTATATTTAATAATAAAATTTAATCTGATTCTGTTCCCATCCCTTTACTGGTGGGAAATTAAATCTTAGTCACTATTTACTTTCTGACCTGTAAAAACTTGGGACAATGCCCTAGTCTCTTAAGTGGAACAGAAGACCATCTGGGGAAAGGCCCTGTGTCTTCAGTTGGTATCAGAATATGCTGTTCAAAGCTGTGTAGACCTGGCAGTGGCTCCAAGATTCCTGAGACATCTTTAGCAGGGTATTCTCTCGAATTCTTGAGCTTCTTTAAATAAAGAAGATAAAACTGAGATACTGTTCCTTTTCCAGAGTATTGCAGGGAGCCCACGGAATCCACAGACCTCCTCTTTTCTCTTCCTTCCTTCCTTCCTTTCTTTCTCTCTCTCTTTTTTTTTTTTTTTTTTTGAGACAGGGTCTCACTTTGTCACCCAGGCTGTAGTGCTGTGGTGTGATCTTGGCTCACTGCAACTTCCGCCTCCTGGGCTCAAGCAATCCTCCAACCTCAGCCTCCTGAGTAGCTGGGATTACAGGCAGAAGCCACCATGCTCAGCTAATTTTTGTAATTTTGGTAGAGATGAGGTTTCACCATGTTGGCTAGGCTGGTCTTAAACTCCTAGGCTCAAGTGATTCGCCTGCCTCAACCTCCCAAAGTGCTGGGATTACAGGCACGAGCTGTGCCTGGCCTCCAGACCTTCATTTTCTTCATAGTCTTAGAGATATATGTTTTCTCTTCTCTGCTTTCAGTCTTGCCTTCCTACTCTCAAAAGCACTTGCCTCTTTTTTGTTCTCCCTTTAGGTGATCAATTTCTTCAGTCAGTTCAGAATTTTATTCCTTTGACCTTTTGTTATTAATGTATCACCATATTCTTGTAGGATTTTCTTTTCCTTCTAAGAAGAAAGTCAGGCCTTTGTGTTCCCATGAGTCAGGGGATTTGTATCACTGGTTCACACATTGGCCCAATACCTCCAAGGCCAACCTCAGCTCTGGCTATTTTTCCTCTCATCATAGAGGACTTCCCTAGCCACTCTACTGCCAGCCTCCCTCCCATTACTTTCTATCACATCATCCTGTACATTTCTCTCTTTTTTTTCTTCTTATTATTAAATTTTTGTTTTAAGGACAAGGTTTCACTTTGTCACCCATGCTGGAGGGCAGTGGCACTATCATAGCTCACTGCAGCCTGGACCTCCTGCCTCAGCCTTCCAGGTAGCTGGAGCTAGAGGTGGGAGCCATCACAGCCACCGCATGTAGGTAATTTGTTTTAGGGGTCTCAATATTTTGAGCAGGTTGGTCTGGAAGTCTTGGGCTCAAGAGATCCTCCCACTTCAGTCTCCACAGTAGCTGGGATTATAGGCGTGCCTCGCCATACCCGGCATTCAACCCTTAAATTTATTTCATGACATTTGATATACTTTATTTTATTGCAATTAATTAATTAATTCATTTATTTTAAGACAGAGTCTCACTCATTCTGTTGCCTAGGCTAGAGTGCAGTGGTGCCATCTTGGCTCCCGGCAGCCTCCACCTCCAGGGTTCAAGCCATTCTCCTGTCTCAGCCTCCCATAGCTGGGATTACAGGCTTGCACCACCAGGCCTGGCTCATTTTTGTATTTTTAGTAGAGATGGAGTTTAACCATGTTGGCCAGGCTGGTCTCGAACTCCTGACCTCAAGCAATCTGCCTTGCCTTAGCCTCCTAAAATGCTGGGATTACAGGCATGAGGCACCCACGCCGGGCCTGATACATTTTAAAAATATCTTGTTCATTTCTTTTTTGTATTTTCTCCTCCCAAATCCAGAATGTCTTGTTTACTGCTACCTCCTGAAGCAGATTAAGAACACTCACAATAATTTACAAGGTTTCAACTATAATAATTTTTAAACAGGCTGGAGTGTAGTGGTACGATCTCGGGTGATACATTCATATTAAAAAGTACACAAGGAGGTTGGGCGTGGTGGCTCACGTCTGTAATCCCAGCACTTTGGGAGGCCAAATGGGTGGCTCGCTTGAGCCTAGGAGTTCAAGATCAGCCTAAGCAACATGATGAACCCCGTCTCTACTAAATATACGAGAAAAAAAAAATTAGCCGGGTGTCGTGGCGCGTGCCTGTGGTCCCAGCAACTTGGGAGGCTGTGACGGGAGGATCGCCTGAGCCCGAGAGGTGGAGGCTGCAGTGAGCCAAGATCGCGCAACTGCACACTCCAGCCTAGGCGACAGAGCAAGACCCTGTCTCAAAGGACAAAAACAAAAAAGTACACAAAGGCGTACGGTAAATGGTCTTCCTACCACGACGTGTTTTCCAGAAACACATTCCTCTCCTGGGAGGTAACTATTATCAGTTTCTTCACACCAGCATTTTTAATCTATGTCTACTCAATTTAGAATTTCTAAACCCTTCAGGATCTTCAAAAGACAAAATCGGCCAGCGATTTTAATAGTTCCAGTAAAGGTTTGAGCAGAGAAGTGGACTTTCTTCTGTTCCTCTTTTCAACTACTCCTAAGGACTCCTGGAGAAGAAAGAGCAAATATCTCTGCATCTCAATTTCTGGTCCGCAGGTAACCCAGTCTCAGTAGCTTGGTAGTTACCATGGCTCCCAGTGCTGTGCGTCTGACGTCATTCTGCGGCGCTGGCTGATGGCGCAATCAGTTGCGGCGTCCTGTGAGCGCGGGGATGCTGGGAGGAGGGTGAAATTTAGCCATCGGTGTGTGGCAGGGTCATGAAAAAGCGGCGGCGGCGGGAGAGAGGAGGAGGCGGCGGCGGGGCAGTGAAACTACGGTAGCTGCCCCCTGAGCTGGTGGTGTGGCTTTGTGGGGAGGGCGTAGTTCCTAATCCCCTTTCCGGGCAGCCGCCGGGGCTCGGGGCTGTGAGCGGCCGTGAGGCTGCCTCCCCGGGCCCCCTGCCTCCGCCATGTTCCGCAGGGCACGCCTTAGCGTGAAGCCGAATGTCAGGCCTGGTGTAGGCGCCAGGGGCTCCACAGCTTCCAATCCCCAGCGTGGACGGGAGTCTCCCAGGCCGCCGGAGCCTGCCACGGACTCTGCTTCCAAGCCCGCGGAGCCCACAGATGTGCCCACAGTCGATTTCGGTGGAGCGGAGCCCCAAGAAAAGGCTCCTAGGAGCAGGTAAGAGGTTGCAGAGGGAAGAATTTTCATTTGTCCCGCCTCTCCGGGCATGTCACCTGGAAGCTGAGCAAATGAATTTTATCACAGGAGTCCGCTCTCGTTTGCAGTAAGCCTTTCAGTTGAGGCTTGATGAAACCACTCCAAACTGCAGTTTAGTTGTCTGACCTGCAGGGTGTGGCTTGTGTGGATTTTGTCACGGTCTATAGATTCTCCGAGAGGAGACCATGTCTTCAAGTGGTGGTAGGGAGAATCGGGGTATGGCAGTCCTGAAGTGAAGAATATCCACACTATTCATTTGAGAATTTAGGTCACTATAGTTTTCATCCTTCTGGAGTGCTTTGCAGGGAAGTGTTTTTGTCTTTCAATTTATAAAATATTTATTTTTTAAAGGAGAAGATAAGTATTGCTTTGGCTTTACCGATTTATGTCAGTGAGTAAGAGTTCTGGTCACTTAATTGAAGTGTGCCTCTTTAACTATGGTGACCGTGTTTCCTGAATAGAGAAGCATGGCTTTAGCGTCATGTATCATATTTGGATTCAGGACTCTTTTAGTCTACAGGTAAACTTTTCTCAGGCAGAATTTGCTCATCTGCAAAATGGGAATAATATTGCCTACTTGGAGCGTTTTGGTGCAGATTGGAGATAATTCATATTAACTACCTTGCAGGGGATATAGCAGAATAGTTGCCCGCAAAAAGTTACTAGTTTTTTAGAAAGGTGATGGAGTAAATTTAAGACATGTTAGGCTAAGATGGTCTCTGTTTCTATATATATGAGGAAATCAGTAAACAGCCTTGTTAAGTGAAGTGAGATAGTACAAATTCTGTTTATGCTGTGATAGGAAGGTGAAAAATTTATTTATTTTTGGAACATCTTCCTCTATTGGCCTGAACTGGTGCTGAGTGTATGGTGTTACGTTGATAGTTCAGTGATGGTTAGTAATTTCCAAGTTTATTACATGAATCTGTTTCAAAATTTCTACACAGAAAGGAGATACCGATACTAGTCGCTGTTACATTAATAAAGTTCTCAGAGATTTCGTTAATTATGTGTGAGTGCGTGATGGTTGATAATTTAATAAATTGCCCAAAGATTGTAGTTTTGAGATATTTATGGTCAAGGATATTTAATTTTTTTTTTTGAGTTGACATTTACGTTTGGGGAATATAATTTGTTTTTTAGTCACTTTTTTTGCCATTACTGACTCTGGGAAAGTGGTTTTTTTTTTTTTTTTTAATTAGTTTTTTTTTTAGATGGAGTCTTGCTCTGTCGCCCAGGCTGAAGTGCAGTGGTACGGCTCACTGCAACCTCCACCTCCCGGGTTCTTGCAATTCTCCTGTCTCAGGCTCCCAAGTATCTGGGACTACAGGCGTGCCCCACCACGCCCAACTAATTTTTGTATTTTCAGTAGAGACAGGGTTTCACCATGTTGGCCAGGCTGGACTCGAACTCCTGACCTCAAGTGATCCACCTGCCTCAGCCCAAAGTGCTGGGGTTACAGGTGTGAGCCACCGTGCCCAGCCTCTTTTTATTTTTTTGTGGGTCTTTGCTAGTTGTAAAACTCTATAGGATATATATTCTGTCATTATGCATTCAACATAATTGGGTGAAATGCAGATAATGCATGTATCCATAACAGCTAAGATACGAATTTAAATTGAAGTCTTCCTGGAAAGGTTATTCTATAAGTTAAGGCATTTTCTAATTTTTTATAAGTAATTATAAAATAGGAAAAAAGTAGACTGTTTTTAATTATTGACTTATACCACCTCTTTTCTTGACTTAAGTTGCATTTATAGACCATTCCTGAAATACTTATATCTGAGGTATACCATACCTAATATGCAATTTGGGGTGACTGAGTACTTTTTTTGACTGAAGTTTATTCTGATGGCTGTATAAGTAGAGTTGTACCTGACAAAAGATAAATGATTTCTGCCTCAAAGGGAATTGGGTTTGGCTACTGTAACTAAATGTTTTTCTTCAAATACTGCAATACAGATATTTCAGAGGTTTGAAGTTTTGCATATTTGATTTGACTGACCTCGGGTTGATAAGTAAAGTAAAATGCCGGTAGTTTAGACCAGTTTAAAATGTCAGAGTGAATTAAAATTTTTTTAAATTTTATATAGAAATTAATTATAAATTATTACTTTGTTACTTAGTAATTCAAATTAGGTTGACTAAGCTTTGTTCTGTAAGTTGGTTATTTGTTTTGAGGGGGGTAAGCCTATAATTATGTGCTCTAATGTGCCTAGGGACTTTATGTTTGAAAAAGATTAAGAGTCTATTAGAATTTACGTATATTTAAAAGATTTACTAAACAAATTTTTTTGTAACCTGTCATAATTATCATAAATCTCAAGTTACTAATTTTTTTTTTTTAATTACGAGATTGCAGTTTTGGATTTTCACCAGACTAGGTTTTAAAACTAGCATGTGTAACAGAAGATTCATGTGCCCTCTTTTTTCTTTTTTAATTTCAACAGTACTGAAAAGACTGGTGGTGACAATGATGTTGAAGAATCCAGTAGATCTTCCTCTACTGTTTCACAGAGAAGAAAGCGAATATCAAGTACTTCTAGCCTGGTTAAGTCTAGTGTCAGTGTTCCTTCAGAATCTCATCCCTTATCTACAATTAATCAAGAGGCTCCACAGCCAACTGCCACTTCAACAAAAGAGAAACAGCCATGCTCAGACAGATACCGAATATACAAAGCCCAGAAACTGAGGGAAATGTTAAAAGAAGAATTGAGAAAAGAGAAGGTAAGGGAGGAGAATCAGGATTTTGATGTTGCCTTCTATTTATGTTAGTAAGGAATCATTGGGAAGAAAAGCATTTGTAGCATTTTGATGGGGGAACAAAACCACATAACATCCCTTAGTCAATAGAACATCCCTTCTTGTTAATGGATTGATTGATACACCGTGGACTTAAATTACATTTTTCACTGATAGTAATTTTTACATTATTTATTTATGTTTTCACTGTTTTTGGTGAAGACCACAAATAAGTTTCATACGCATACACATAGATGCACATACACAAACATATTTATAAAATAAACCTTCAGTCTGATTTTTCACATAAAGATGTCCAAGTGATAAGTGATATATTTATTTGAATTAAGACAAGTATAGGCCGGGCGTGGTGGCTC